>NC_000015.10:21029746-21193490 GCF_000001405.40 Homo sapiens | reverse complement strand
GAATTCACTGGAAGAAAGAAATAGGGAGGTGAAAAGAAAGGAGAGAATGGAGACGAGAGAAATATAAGCAAGAAAAGTGAGTTTTTCTAGAAAGAATTTTATTGTCAAATAATTCTGCAAGGGAACAAAGTCTTCTGAGAAGCATGAAGCATAATCTTTCTCCTTTCTGTTTTTTTCTATTCCCTATAGAAAAAACCTGTTAATTTTGTATTAAAAACAAAATACATTTCTTTTTTTTTGAGTGCTCTATAATTGTATAGGAATGTGTATCACTTCCTCCCCATAATTTTGAGAATATTTCTGAAGACAGTGACATATTCTGACTCTTTAAGAACAAAACAATTCAATTTTAAAATCACTGAGTGACAGCAATCAAAGTTCTGAAGTGATGCAGTTCGCCTCAACACTTGTTCGAAATGTCATTAGAAAACCAACATATAGCGGGTTGTTATGGCAACTGGAATACCAGAGTTTATAACATCACTGTAATTAATGTTATCCAAATGTTATTAATCTTTCAACATCACTCACATTCTCTGAAGGAACGGCAGTTCTGGTTGTCTTAGGATTTTTCAATAGTGTAATCCATTGCAGCTTTTCTTCACGTTTTATTTTTAAATAGATCTTACTCTGACTTTGCTTTAGTGAAATTAGTTATTGTTTCTCCGTCTTTACTTGTTCTATTTTGGCTGCTATTTTTTTTTTTTGATAAAACTTGAAGTAAAATGGAAAAAAGGGATTACAGCTAAAAAAAGAATAAAGTCTAGAGATGGAAAGATTTATATATTTAAGTATGGAGAACCTCAGAAAAATATTAAAATATTTTGCATACAGCTTTGTAGTATTAACTCACATTTGCATAGCACTTTATAATTTAAGAAGCAGTTTTACATATGTTATTAACATAACATTATTTAACATAACAACCCTAAGAAGACAAGTAATAATTTTTGAGTGCCTACTACGTGACAGGTAATATGATTTGCATACATAAATCTTTTAGTTCTCACCGCAATCTGCAAGATAGCTGTTGTGGTTTAAAAATATGTCTCCATGGTTCAACAACAAATCAACAAATTACCTGATTTAAAAACAGGCAAATGTGGCCAATGAGCATATGAAAAGACACTAAATATCACTAATTATTAGATAAATGCAAATCAAAACCACAATGAGATATCACCTGATATTTAGTGGCTACTACGAAGAAACAGAAAATAATAAATAGTGGCAAGGATGAAATGTTAAAATGCCAGATACACCAAATCATGCAAACACAACATCAAAACACAGCTTGGTGGAGATGGAGGGACAGATGGGGAGGGGAAGAGTGTGGAAAGGCTGGAAAACAGTCCCAAACAGACACACGTCTCCATGTGACACTTTTTTTCTTTTTTTAGGCAGGGTCTTGCTCTGTTGCCCAGGCTGGAGTGCAGTGGTGTAATCTCGGCTCACTGCAACATCCACCTCCCGGGTTCAAGCGATTCTCCTGCCTCAGCCTCCCGAGTAGCTGGGACTACAGGCATGTGCCCCCATGCCAGGCTAATTTTTGTATTTTTAGTAGACATGGGGTTTCCCCATGTTGGTCAGTCTGGTCTCGAACTCCTAGCCTCAAGTGATCCGCCCGCCTCTGCCTTCCAAAGTGCTGGGATTACAGGCGCCCGCCACCACGCCCAGCTAAGTTTTGTATTTTTAGCAGAGACGGGGTTTTACCAGGTTGGCCAGGCTGGTCTCAGACTCCTGACCTCAAGCGATCCACCCGCCTGAGCCTCTCAAAATGCTGGGATTACAGTGTGAGCCAGGGCTCCCGGCCAGAACACATTTCCTTTTAATGGAAACAGTAATTCTCTGTGGCCTCCCAGCCAGCCCACATTCCTCCACCAGGCCACCACCGCCTCTGAGGAAGCTGGACTGTGCGGCACACGCGGAGGTCATTGCTTACTTAGATGGCAGTGAACCATCCACGCTGGGGAAGCATCACTCCTCCCTAGACCTGGCAGCATCCTCCCCGGTTCCTTTTTCTTGCTGAAATATTTCTCCAAGAGTGTTTCTGGGGTTGACTCTCAAGGGGGCTGATAGGACTGAGGATGGCTTCCTGCGTGCCCATATTTCATGGCGGTGAGCAGGACACAGCCCTGGGTTCCAGGGTCCTTTCCTCTCGCGTCTGAAGCTGTCACTCCCTTTCTTCTTGCATCCGTTGTCTGTGCCGCGATTCTAATGTCAGCACCACTCCCGTTCCTGTGCGGGTTACCTGCTTTTTCTCTTTGGAAGTTTTTAGCAATTTTGACTCAAAATGTAGATGCTTTTCTTTGAAAGTACACATAAGATTTTAACTTTAAAATGTAATTAACACTCTGCAGGCCCTTTCAGTTTGAGGATGTGCATCTTTTCTTAATTGGGGAAATTTCCTAATCATTTTTCAGATACTTCCTCTTATCTATTCATTTTTCCTCTTTTAAGCACTGAATATTTTTCCTCCCTCACCTCTGCCTCCTCAACCCCTTCAGCTCCTTCTAGAAGAGCTCAGAGCCTGACCTGCCTCACTCATTCATTTTCTGGTCTCCAACCTTCCCACCAAGTTCATCACTTAAGCGCCCGCATGTTCCAGTCCAGTATTCCCGGCTGCATCTTCTGCATAACTGCCAATTCCAGCCGCGCTCTCCCTGCGTCCTGAGGGTATGTGACGGATTTACCGGTCTTATCCGCTCATCTGCTCCCTCCTCCAAGGAAAAACCTTGGGGTTTTTCCCTCCCGGAGTTCACTCCCCTCGCTGTCTCGTTTCCTCAGGCCGCTCTCTGTTCCCTGGGTATGGTCAACTGCCTTCGTCTTAGGCCCCAGTTGACACCTTCCTTGTGGGCTTCAGGGAGGCAGGCAGGGGCTCCTGGGGGCAGAGCCTCTGGCAGGATGACTGGGGCCCTCTTTGCTCATCCCCGGGGGCTGCTCTGGTCTGCAGGGAACGCCCCTGTCCTTCTAGCTGGTGCTGTCTGTCCAGGGCTGCCCTGTGCTGTAATTGGCTGTCCTTGGGCTGGGGAGGAAGGCTGCCCAGGGGCCACCAGCCAGCCTGCCCAGGTGTCGTGGCCCTCACTCCAGGAGGCTCCTGAGGTGCTCTGGCCTTGCCTAGATTCCTGGGGCTGGTACGGGTGGGATCTTCTACAGGAAAGCAGGGCTGGCAGATGACAGCCCCAGGTGGGCCCCGGAGCAGAGAGCTGCAGTCTGGCCCCGGTTGTGCTGTGTGGCCTCCTCCACTCAGACTGTGATTCCCCTCCTGTCCCAGACTCCACCACGTTTGCCCAGCCTCCGCAAGGCTCTCAGGGGTCCTCTTAGGTTCTGGGCTCCATCAACTGTCATCCCTTTGATGGCATCTCCAAGGTTTGGATTCGTGGGAAGGAGCCAGCAGCCTGTATTAATTAATCCCCTCATAAAGGAACCAAAAGCCAAATTTACAAACAAAAATCATAACATTAGATGCTGTCAGGGGCAGAGGAAATGGAGACGTGGAAAGCTGCTGGTGGGCGTGTGAACTGTCACACCCTCCCGAGGACCTCGTGGCAACTCGTTCCAAATGCCTGGAGAGTGGACCCTGGCATTCTATGACGAGGTGGCATCTGCCCTCTAAATACAACTAGACACCCTGGAAAAAATTTAACAGACATAAGAGGACTCTAGGAAGTGTAGAGGAAGAAAGGCTGTCCAGGAACCTCGGGACTTTGGGGGTGACGCTGTACAAGGCCCTGAGTTTTCTTTTTCTCTCATCTCCTGGATGGGCCCAGAGAACCCTGCAACCTGTAACTGCCAAAACCTGCAGGGACAAAAAAGAAAAGAAAACGAGCCTATTTTCTCTGGTGAAAGGACTGAGAAGGGTATCTCACTGAAGACCCAGTGAGGAGATTCCTACTGATCCATGCCACAGCAGCTCCGCTCAAGCCTGGCCCTCAGCATCACACCCAGGCCACAAAGGCTCTGCTGACCACGGCGCAGAGACCACACCCAGCACCCGGCGTTTCCTTAACCTACCCCCGCCGCACAGGGCAACCCCAGCAACATGCACAGGGATTGAACCAGAGCCCCAGCAGATCCAGAAGAACAAACGAGACCAGAATAGCACTGGGAGGGCTTTGAAAACTAAATTGTCATTGACTCTACATTTCCCCTAAAGCAGGCTGGGGCCTATATGGTAAACCAAATAAGGGTACCATGGACTGAACTGGAATGTTCAAATAGGATAAAAAGTTTCCTTACATAATAACCGAAATCTCCAGAACATATTTGAAATTATTTGTCATATCAGGAAACATAAAAAGCAACTTGAAGCCTGGTGAGGGGGCTCCCACCTGTAATCCCAGCACTTTGGAAGGTCAATCAGGAGGATGGCTTGAGCCCGGGAGTTTGAGATCTGCCTGGGCAACACAGCATGACCCTGTCTCTACAAACAATTTAAAAATTAGCCAGCTGTGGTGGCACACACCTGTGGTGGCACACACCTGTGGTGCCAGCTACTTAGGAGGCTGAAGCAGGAGGACTGCTTGAGCCCGGCAGTTTGAGGCTGCAGTGAGCCGAGATCATGCTACTGCACACCAGTCTGAGCATCAGAGTAAGACTCTGTCTCAAAAACATAACAGAGCAAAACAAAAAACAACTTAAATAGCAAAATAAGATTAACCAAGATAAATCAGATGTTAGAACTTTAAAGCAGCCATCATAAAAGTGCTTCAGAAAACAATGGTGAATTTTCTTGAAACAAGAACAAAATGAAAATCATACAACTGAAAAATACAATAACTAAATGAAAAAATGTGCAGTTGGGTACAATAGCAGAGTGGAGACGACAGAGAACAGAGTCTCTTGATTCAAGGACAATTAATAGAGCTGGCCCATAGGAACGATGGAGAGATAGGAGACTGAGAAATGAACGCCTCCTCGGGGATGGGTGGGACAGTGACAAAAGGCCCAGCGTTCCTGTCACCAGAGTCCCAGGAGGAGAGGAAGGAATGTGTGGTGAAAAAGTATTCAAAGGCACAGTGGTTGAAGATGTCCCAAATTTGGTGAAAGAAGTAAACCTGCAGATTCAAGAATCTGAGCAAACCCCAAATAGGATAAACACATCATAACGGAACTTCAGGAAAGGAAAGATGAAGAAAAAAATCTTTTAAACCACCAGAGAAAAACGATGCATTAAGGGACGCTGGTTCTGAGGATGGTGGGCTTCTCTAAAACCACGAGGCAGAGGGGGCGACACACCATCACCAGGTGCTGAGAAAAACTGTCTGCCCAGAACCCTATTCAGTGAACGTATCCTTCAGGGATGAGGGGGAAATAAAGATATTCTAAGAGGAAGGACAACTAGGATAATTTGTTACCAGAAAACCTACCCTTAATAAATGGCTGAAGGAAGCTCTACTAACGAAAAGGAAATAAGGAAATCAGAAATAGCAACAACAGAAGGGGTAATCATATGGTAAGTATAATAGACTATGATGAGTTTCTTAAATTGTATTTTATGGTTGAAGCAAAAAATATTAACATCATCTGCTGCGGTGCTCTACATCTGAACAGGAAATATTTATGATAATTACATGTTTAAGTGGGGGAGGAAAAGGGGAAGTAAATAAAAGTAAGCTTTTGATATTTCTCATGAAGTGGTGAAACATTGATGCCAGCAGGCTGTGATAAGTTACATGGGTATATTATAATCAATCCTAGAGCAGCCACTTAGAAAACGATACAAAGCAATGCACCCAAAAGTATAAATAATTCAAAATGAAATGCTAAAAACTGTTTAAGTAATCCATGACAAGTGAAACAAAACAGAATAAAGGAAACATAAGAAACATGCAGAAAGCAAATAAAAATGGCACATTTGAATCCTAAATATGATTTCTGTGTGGTAAAGAATTTGGCCTAGCCCAAAGAAGAGGTCTAGCCTTTGTCCTGGCTCCTGGCAAGTAGTCCTGAAGACCATGTGACAGGAGGGTCTTTGCTATTCATGGTGGGTCCCTCAGACTATACCTGAAGTTTATGCTACCAGCTGGCTCATGGTGGGCCCTCCCAGGAATGTGCTGTCAGCCCCAGATTCCGGGAAAGGGAGAGATGAAGACAGAGTTCCAACCAGTCTCCAACAGATCAGTCAATTATGGCTGCACAATGCAGTTCCAGGAAACACTCCGGACACCAAGGCTTGGGTGAGGTTCCTAGGTTGGCAGTGCTTCATGGTATTGTCACACGTGGATGCTGGGAGAGTAATGCACCTGAGGACAACAGAGGCTTCACAGACCCTCCTAGCCCTGCTCTCTGTGCTGGTTCTGATTTGTATCCTTTCCCTGCAGTAAACAGTAACCATGTGTACAGCAGTTTTCAATGACTTCTGTGAGTTCTTCCAGCAAATGATTGAAACTTAGGGTGCTTTGGAAACCTCTAAAACTTGCTGTTGGTGTCAGGAATGAGGGAAATTTTAGGAACCATGCCCTCAGACTTTGCAGTTTGGTTAAATCTGGGAAAAACACAGAAATAGCAGAGTAAATGCAAAAATATGACCCATTATATGATGTCCATAAGATATTCAGTTCTAATACCATGGCATAGGTTTTTAACAGATTCGAAGTGAAAGAACAGAAAAAAGGCCGGGCGCGGTGGCTCACGCCTGTAATCCCAGCACTTTGGGAGGCCGAGGTGGGCGGATCACGAGGTCAGGAGATCGACACCATCCTGGCTAACACGGTGAAACCCCATCTCTACTAAAAATACAAAAAATTAGCCGGGCGTGGTAGCGGGCGCCTGTAGTCCCAGCTACTCGGGAGGCTGAGGCAGGAGAATGGCGTGAACCCGGGAGGCGGAGCTTGCAGTGAGCCGAGATCGCGCCACTGCACTCCAGCCTGGGCGACAGAGCGAGACTCCGTCTCAAAAAAAAAAAAAAAAAAAAAAAAAAAAAGAACAGAAAAAAAAATTTCATGCAAACAAACAGGAACTTTTAAAAAAGCAGGAGTTGCTATAATAATATCAGATAGAGTTCATGGCAAAAAGAATTTCTAGAACAAAAGAGGAATATTACATAATAACAAAAGAGCAAGAGTATATCTTGATCCTAAATATATGTGCACCAAACAACACAGCTTCAAAACACATGAAGCAAAACCTGATAGAGCTTAAAAAAGAAATAGAAAAATCCATAATTATAGTTGGGATATGTCGACATCTCACTTTCAGAATTTGTAAAATTACTAGAAAAAAAATCAGCAAGAATATAGGATAACTAAACAATATTATTAGCCAATAGGGTAAAATTAACATTTATGGAAAACTCTATCCATCAACAGCAAACTATGCATTATTTTCAAGCTCTTATAGAACAGACTCTAGATCTTAAAACAAACCTTAACAAATTTTTAAAAACTGAAATCATACAAAGAGTGTCCTCTGACCAAAATGGAATCAAACTGGAAATAAATTGCAGAAAGACAAGAGAAAAATCTGCAAACACTTGGAAATTAAGCAGTAAACATTTATATACAATGTGGACAAGAAGAAGTCTCAAAGGGAATTTTTAAAAAGCAAGTAACAATGAAAATATGGCATATCAAAATTTGTGGATGAGGCTGGGTGCAATGGCTTACTCCTGTAATCCCAGCACTTTGGGAGGCTGTGGCAGGTGGATCGCTTTTTGAGCCCAGGAGTTCAAGACTAGCCTGGGCAACATGGTGAAATCCCTATCTCTGCAAAAAATTATCCAGGTGTGGTGGCATGCACCTGTAGTCCCAGTTACTTGGGAGGCTGAGATAGGGAGGATTGCTTGAGCCCAGAAGGTTGAGGCTGCAGCGAGTGGAGATTGTGCTACTGCACTCCAGCTTCGGTGACAGAATGAGACCCTGTCTTAAAAAACAATTGAGGGATTCAGCTATAGCAGAGCTGAGAGAGAAATTTATAGCACTAAATCCTTATATTAGTAATATGGAAAGTTCTCAAACCAGTAGTCAAAAAACTAAAAGAGGAATAGTAAAATAAAGTTAAGGCAAATAGGACGGAAAGCGAAGAGCAGAAATTGATGAAATTAAAAACAGGAAAGCAATGCAGAACATTAAGGAAATAAAAAACAGGTTCTTCAAAAAATTAATAAAACTGATAATCCTCTAGCATGATCAACAAAGATAAAAGGAGATAACACACAAATCAGCAATATCAGGAATGAAACAAGAAATATCACAAAAGAGGCTGCATCTATGAAAAATGCTATAAAAATTTTATGCTCATACATTTGACAGCCTAGGAAAAAATGGATCAATTCCTTGAAAACCACAAATTACCACAACTCAGAAAAGATGAAATATATAAAAGCCTGAATAGTCCTATAATCATTATATAAATTGGATTTGTAACTAAAAAGCTCCTGAACACAATATATCCAGACCCAGTGGTTTCACTGGAGAATTTACCAAATATTTAAAGAAGAATCAACACCAGTTTTACACAGTCTCTTCCAGAAAATAGAAGAGAAAGGACTATGATATCATTATTTTGATATCAAAACAAAACAAAGACAGCACAAAGGAAGGAAGGAAGGGAGGGAGGAAGGAGGCAGGGACAGAGGAAAGAACCTTGCAGGCTGATTTTGCTCATAAGCTTAGATGGAAAAATCCTCAAGACAGTGTCAGCAAATCAAATTTAGTGATGCATAAAAAGAGTAGTAGACCACAATCAAGAGGAATTTCACTCAAGTTATGCAAGACTGTTTTAATATTTGAAAAGCCAATCCACATATTCTGTTTTGTAAACTGAAGAAAAATCATAATGATCTTATCAATTGACATAGGAAAAGGTTTTGACAAAATTCAAAACCCATTCATGATATAAACTCTTAGCAAACTTGGAATAGAGGGTAATTTCCTCCAACTTCATAAAGAGCATTTACAAAAATCTACAGTTAACATCACACTTAATGGTGAAAGAATGAATGCTTTCCCCTTAAGAGCAGGAACAAGGCAAGAATGTTCCCTTTCACCATTTTAATTCAAGATAGTACTAGAAGTTCTAACCAGTGTAATAAGACCAGAAAAAGAAATAAAAAGTATGCAGATTGAAAAGAAAGAAAGAAAACTATCACTACTTGCATGTGGCATAATCATCTACATAAACAGTCCCATGGAACAAAAAAAAAATCCTTGATATAAAGAGTGAGAATATCAAGGCTGCAATACACAAGAATAACACACATACACAAATTACATCTCTCTATGGTAACAATAAACAAGTGGAAACCAAAATAAAAACTGCAATACCATTTACAACTGCTCAAAATACATGAAGTATTAATATGTAGGAATAAATCTAATAAAACATATACAGGAGAATATATGCAAATTACAAAATTCTGCTGAAAGAAATCAAACATCTACATAAATGGAGAGTCATGCCATATTCAGGGATGGGAATTCTCAACATAGATGTCAGCTTCCTTCAAATTGCAGGTTTAATAGAATTCTAAATCTTGGCATTGTTTTTTGTATACATATGCAAACTTATTGTAAACTTTATATTAAAAGGAAGTGGACCTAGTTTAGCTGAAACAATTCTGAAAAAGAATAATTAAATAGAAGAAATCACTGTACCAATTATTAAAGCTTACTCTACAACTACAGTAATCAACTCAGTATGGTGCTGGTGGAGGGAGAGACACATTAATTACTGGTGCAAGATAGAGATCCCACCCCAGAAATATGCTTAATTAATTTTTGAGAAAGATGCAACAGCAGTTTAGTAGAGGACTGATAGCCCTTTCAGCAAGTGCTGCAGGAACAATCAGACATCCATAGGCAAGGAGATGAGGCTTGGCCTGACCTTCACATTTTATACAAAACATAACACAAGGATCATGGGCTTAAATGTCAAACTGTAATATTTTCAGGAAAAAAAAAAGAAGAAAATCTTCAGGATCAGGGACTAGGCAGAGCCCTTAGACTTGACATCAAAATACAATTTATAAAAGAAAAAATTGATAAATTGGACCTCATCAAAATTAAATTTTTTTTTGCTCTGCAAAAGACGCAATTGGGATGATGGAAAGATAAGTTACAGAATGAGAGAAAATATTTGCAAATCACATATCTGACAAAGAACTTGTGTCAAGAATAAAGAACTCTCAGAACTCAACATAAAATAAATAAGTAATCAAATTAAAAATGCGCAAATGACATGAACAGATATTTGACCAAAGCAAATATTCTTTGTACATGAAAGGATGGTCAGCAACATTAGCCATTAGGAAAGTTGAAATTAAAACCACAATGAGACATCACTACATATTAGAATGGCTTTTTAAAAAGTGATTAGCACTAGGCTGGGTGCAGTAGTTCACGCTCGTAATCCCAGAATTTTGGGAGGCCGAGGCGAGTGGATCATTTGAGATCAGGAGTTTGAGACCAGCCTGGCCAACAGGGTGAAACCCCATCACCCCTAGTGACCCACTAGCAAAAGTTTTGCTCCTTGTCCCCACCACCTTATGCTCTGCTGGCCTAGAGGTCTTAGTTCCAGAGGGAGGAATGCTGCCGCCAAAAGACAGAGGGATGATCCATTGCGCTGGAAGTTTAGGCTGCCATCTGGTGGCACCAAGCTCCTCATGCCTCTGGATCAACAGGTAAAGAAGGAGTTAACTACGCTGGTGGGGGTGGCTGGTCCAGATCACCAAGGAGAAACTGCCCTGCTGCTTCACAATGGACTGAGGAAGAGCATGTCTGGGGTACAGGAGGGCCCTCGTGGCATGCGCTGTGATTAAGATCAATGGAAAAGCACAACAGCCCAATCTCGGCAGGATTAATAATGGTCCAGAACCTTCAGGAATGAAGGTTCCCCCACCAGGTTAAAAACCACAACCAGTGGAGGCTTCCTGAAGGCAAAGGGAATACAGACTGGGGAGTGCAAGAAGGTAGTTATAGGACCATGTGACCAGCTACAGAAACCAGGACTGCAATTGTCATGAAACTTTCCTCCTTATTTGCTGAGAGAGATAGAGAGAGAGAGTGTTTAAAGTTTTGGAAGAAAACATAGGAAGAAATCTTCATTAATTGAGGTTAGGGAAATTGTTCTTAGACATGATGCCAAATGCATGTAAAAACAAAAATCCGTCAATTAGACTTGATCAAAATAAAAAATATAGCTTTGCAAAAGACACTATTAAAAGACACTGAAAAGACAGCTATAGGCTGGGAGAGAATATCTACAAACCACATATCCAACGAAGAAAGTAGTCTGACATATATAAAGAACTCTTAAAATCAAGTTAGAAAACCATCCAAACAAAAGTGGGTAAAAGACTTGGACCCTCACTGAAGAGGACGCTCTATGTGGAAGACAGAAAGCCTATGAGAGACCATCGACACTAATCACTAGGGAAATGCAAATCAAAACCATAGTGAGGTGCCACTGGAAAGCAGTTTGACAGTTCTGTTAAACCACATGGCCCAGCAGTCCCATAACGAATTTTCCTGGAGTAAGGAAAATTTGTGTTCACATGAAAACCTCTGCAGAAATGTTTATGGCAACTCTATGCATAATCGCCTAAATCTGGACACAACCACACGTCCTCCCATGGCTGAAGAGGTAACCACCTGTGTCTCCCTGTGTAGGCTAACACCATTCCACAATTGAAAGGAACATGTCACTGACACACAGAGCATTGGGGTGGATCTCAAAAACATGATGCTTAGCGAAAGCAGCCAGTTACAAAGAGCCCATGCTGCATATCTCCACTCACATGACCTTCCTGAGACAATGGCGTGACAGGGATAGAAGGCAAATCAGCAGTCAGCAGGGTTGGGTGGGGAGGGCTGGACTCCAGCAAGAGGGGTGCCATTCCTCGGCATCCTGACTGTGGAACCTTGTACGTGTGAAAATTCTCAGACCTAAACACCTCTTTTAAATGGGACCAGATGGGGAAATAAAACTATCATTTTTTGGTCATCTGTTTCGTATCAGTCACCACAGGTACAGTTGTGACCCTTGAACAACACAAGTCTGAACTACATGGGTCCACCTACATACAGATTTTTTCTTAAAAAAATTTCTTTTTTAAATTAAATCTTCTTAAATAGACATGGGGTTGGCCAGGCGTAATGGCTCATGCCTGTAATCCCAGCACTTTGGGAGGCCAAGATGGGCAGATCACGAGGTCAGGAGATTGAGAACATCTTGGCCAACATAGTGAAACCTCATCTCTACTAAAAATACAAAAAAAAAAAAAATCTGGGTGTGGTGGCATGCACCTGTGGTCCCAGCTACTCAGAAGGCTGAGGCAGGAGAATCACTTGAACCCAGGAGGTGGAGGTTGCAGTGAGCCGAGATCATGCCACTGAACTCCAGTCTGAGCAACAAGAGCGAAATTCCGTCTCAAAAAAAAAAAAAAAAAAAAACAACACACACGGGGTCTTGCTATGTTGCTCAGACTGGTCTTGAACTCCAGGACTCAAGTAACCCTCCCAACCTTGGCCTCCCAAATTGCTGGGATCACAGGCATGAACCACCACACCTGGTCCACTTTTTTTTTCAATAAATATATTGGAAAAATGTATTGGAAAATTTCACATCAGCCATGCCAGCAGATGTGAAACCTTGCTCTTTTGGCCAAATGCCTTTTTACCTGGTCTTGGAAATGCAGCTTTTGGACAGATGTAGTAGCTCATGCTTGTAATCCCAGCACTTTGGGAGGCTGAGGCAGGAGGATCACTGGAGCCTAGGAGATGGAGGTTGCACTAAGCATTGCAACCATTTGAAGAAACTTGCAGATGAACCTTGTAGCCTAGAAATATTGAAAAAGTTAAGAAAAAGGTATGTCATGAATGCATAAAATACTAGCATATTTTTATCATTTACCACCATAAAACATACATATATCATTTATAAACATACATATATCAATTATAAACAGTTAAAATTTATCAAAAGTTATGCACACAAACACAGTACATGGTGCCAGTCAAGAGAAATGTAAACAAATGTAAAGATGCAGTATTAAGTCATAATTGCATAAATTAATGGGAGCCCACTGTACTACTGTAATAATTCTGTCACCCCTCCTGCTACTATTGCAGTGAGCTCAGGTGTCCAGTGTCCACTTAAAATGCCATGTGACACTAGCCATCTCCACGTGAGCACTTGTCTCTCCTGTAGATTGTGTATCACAGTGAAAAGTAATCTCTTGTGGTTCTCATGTATTTTTCATGTTTAGTGCAATACAATAAACCTGAAGAAGACATGTACGAAATGCCACTAGTGATGCTGGAAGTGCTGCCAAGAAGCAGAGAAAAGACAGTACAAGAAAAAGATGGATTGATTGATATGTACTGTAGACTGAGGTCTGCAGCTGTGGTTGCCCACCATTTCAAGATAAATTAATCCAGCCTAAGAACCGCTGTAAAATAAGAAAAGGAAATTCGCAGTGTCATCACTGCAGCCATGCTAGCAGACATGAAACTTTGCTCTTTTTGCCAAATACCTTTTTATCTAGTCTTGAAAATGTAGCTTTTGGCTGGATGTAGTAGCTCATGCCTTTAATCCCAGTACTTTGGGAGACCGAGGCAGGAGGATCACTTGAGCCCAAGAGGTGGAGGCTGCAGTAAGCCAAGATCACACAACTGCACTCCAGCCTGGAAGCGAGGCTCTGTCAGGGTGAAAAAAAAAAAGATGAAAGAAGGAAGGAAGGACAGAGAAATAGAGAAAACGCAGCTTTTATCTGGGTGAAGGATATCTACAAGAAAAGCATATCTATAGACTCTAATATGATTCAAGAAAAACTGATGTCATTATATGACAACCTAAAATGAGACTGGTGGAGGTTGGTGACTTAAAATTATGAGATCTACAAATTTGGAGAGGCTAAAGTACAGTGGCACAATCATGACTAACTGCAGCCTCAACCTCCTGGGCTCAGGCAATCTCCCACCTCAGCCTCCCAAGTAGCTGGAACTACAGGTGTGTGCCACCATGCCTGGCTAATTTTCAAACTTGTTTTTGTAGAGACAGGGGTCCCACTATCTTGCCCAGCTGGTCTCGAACTCTTGAACTCAAGCAATCCTCCCACCTCGACCTTCTAAAGTGCTGAGATTACAGGCATGAGCCGCTGTGCCAGGCCAAGAGCCTTATTTTCTTTCTTTTTTTTTTTTGTCTGACAGAGTCTAGCTCTATCATCCAGGCTGGAGTGCAGTGGTGCGATCTCAGTTCACTGCAACCTTTGCCTCTCAGGTTCAAGCAATTCTCCTGCCTCAGCCACCCGATTAGCTGGGAAGACAGGCACATGCCACTACATCTGGTTAATTTTTGTATTTTTTTCTAGGTAGAGATGGGGTTTCGCCATGTTGGCCAGGCTGGGCTCAAACTCCTGGTCTCAAGTGATCCACCCAACTCAGCCTCTCAAAGTGCTGGGATTACAGGCGTGAGCCACTGGGCCAGCCCAAAAGCTTTATTTCTTAGAAAGGTTGCAGCCTGCAGGCTGGCCATCTTGACAGGCTGGGAAGTGTAGCCTCCAGCAAAGACCAAAAGCAGGCACTTCCAGGGAAAGATGAGACAGGAAGTTATGCTGAAAGGGTTGGCTAAACGTACATATTCAACAGATTATAGAAGGCTCTATTAATATTCATGAAGGGGGTGAGACACACCTATTTCACACATTACATACGTCCCATATTCATTTTGGAGTGGAGGCAACATTTAAATGCATTAAAATTGGGCCCTATATGTCAAAAGGTGAAGCAGAAGGTTCGAAGGCTCTCAGTGCCCAGCCTTCCTACTGGAGAAAACTGGTCCCGATTTACAACAGGGCCAATCAAGGAAATCATGAAAGAGAGTGTGCCTGTGGCAAAAAAGGTGGGGAATGTAGGCTTTCAGGATATGGATCTTGGAGAAATTCAAGAGTGAAGAGACATCACACCAGAGGAATTAACAGAAGACCACTTGATGGAGATGAGTGTTTTCGAATCAGTGCCAGATGATGAGGAAGAGGATGTAGATGCAGTGCCAGAAAATAAGTTGACATTCGACAATCTGGCAGAGGAGTTCTGATTATTCAAGACTACTTGTGACTTCTACCACATGGACCTTTCTATGGTACGGACACCAAAACTAAAGCAAATGGTGGAAGAAGGATTGGTAACATAAAGAAACATATTTAGAGAAATGAAAAAGCAAAAATGTCAGACAGAAATAACGATGAATTTCTCAGTGTGTGTGCATCTCCTGACTTCCTTCCCATCTCCCTGACCTTTTCTGCCTCTGCCATCCCTGAGATGACAGGACCAACCTCTTCTCTTCTTCAGCCTACTCAATGTGAAGACGATATGGATGAAAACCTTTATGATGATCCACTTCCATTTAGTGATAGTGAATACATTCTCTTCCTTATGATTTTATTAGTACTTTTTCTTTTCTGTAGCTTACTTCATTGTAAGAATACAGTATACAATACAAATCACATGCAAAATATGTGTTGAGTGTTTATGTTATTGGTAAGGCTTCTGGCCAATAGTAGGCTATTAACAAAAGTTGTGGTGAGTTGAAAGTTATATGTGGATTTTTTTTTTTTTTTTTGAGACAGAGTCTTGCTCTGTCCTGCAGGCTGGAGTGCAGTGGTGAGATCTCAGCTCACTGCAACCTCCACCTCCTGGGTCCAAGCAATTCTCCTGCCTCAGCCTCCTGAGTAGCTGGGATTACAGGTGCGCACCACCACACCTAATTTTTGTATTTTTAGTAGAGCCGGGGTTTCACCATGTTGATCAGGCTGGTCTCAAACTCCTGACCTCATGATCTACCCACCTCAGCTTCCCCAAGTGCTGGGATTACAAGCGTGAGCCACCACACCTGGCCTATATGTGGATTTTTGACTGTGTGGGAAGGTTGGCACCCCATCCCCTTCATGGGAACTGTAGTCTCATTAAATCCTCACATGCTGCAAGATTGGTTTATTATCCCCATCTTACAGATAAGAAACTTAAAACCCAAGAGATTTTGTACATTGCCCAGAGTCACATCACTGGTGAGTGGCAGAAACTGGAGCCCCCACCCAGACTATCCCTGACCTGAGCACAGGTTGCCAAGTGTGCGTGCAGCAGTCAGAGACACTGGGAGATGGAGACTGCCCTCCGTATTGAGGCCACTTATATATCTGGCTTCTGTGAAACAGCCTTGCTTAGCTCCACCACTCGGTTTTGGTCAAATGAACCACAGCAGGATCATGTGGACTTCCTGAGCACTGGTTTGCATGTATGAGTTGGACTTGGTGATCTCTTTGAGGTGTGTGGAGATACTAAGCTAGTGGAAAAAGTGCTGAACAGACTGGGACCGGTGGCTCACGCCTGTAATCCCAGCCCTTTGGGAGGCCAAGGCAGGAGGATCTCTTGAGGCCAGCCTGGGCAACATAGTGAGACCTTGTCTCTACAAAAAAAAATTAAAAATTTTTAAAATGCTGAACAAAAACCCACCTGTGTTCAATCTTGGCTCCTCCCTGGATAATGTACCCACTCCCAAGTGTAGGTGTTGGTAACTCTTGGGAGTACATCTTAAGCCCAGGTAGCACATCAACCGGAGTTCCAGACAGTTCCCCAGCTGCCGCCTCAGATGTCTCTACCTGGCTGTCCCACAGGTGCCCATCACTCCACCTGGCATCCCAGCCAGACACCTGGGGGCCCTGGGGTACTCCCCGAAAACCCCTTGTTCCTCACAACCCCCAGACCCACTACCCCTCCAATGTTACCTCTCAGAGCTCTAGCACCCACCACTTCTCCCTCTCTGTGCCTCCTCCCCCTGAACTCCCTGCAAACTATCTCCACCCAGTAGCAAAGGGGCTTTTTGAAAAATGAAAATCTGACCATGCTGTCCCGGTTAAATGTTCTCTCAGGGCTTCCTGGTGTCTTGGGATGAAGATAGCATCTTAAGGCGGCCTCATCCCCTGCCTCTCTATTTTCCTCCCCAGCTCCTAGGACTCTGCCGCTGTCCTGGCTCCAGCTACGCTGGCTTGCAGGCGTCATGATGCCCTGTGTCACAGGCCTTTCCACATAACATTCCTGTGCTTGACACACTCTTCTGCTTCCCCAACTCCCAGCCTTTGCCAAGTTAACCAACTTCTGGTCATGGCTCAACCGTCACTTGCTTCCCTAAGGAAGCCTTCTCCAACTTCCTACACCATGTCTAGAGCTGTGCCGTCCTCTACGGGACCACTGCCACATGGGGCCATTGAGCCCTTGAAATGTGCAACTGCTGCCGAGAACTGGAAATTTTTAATTTCAATTAATTTGAATTTCAAACAAGGGACTAGGTTCAGTTACATTTGAAACAAGGGGATATACATCTATTTTTTCAACTGTGAATACTGTGAAACCTAAATATAGATTATTTCCCACAAAATTTAGACCTGAATTGAGAGGTGTTATAAGAGTACACACCGGGCCGGGCACAGTGGCTCATGCCTGTGGTCCTAGCACTTTGGGAGGTTGAGGTAGGCGGAACACCTGAGGTCAGGGGTTCGAGACCAGCCTGGCCAACATGACGAAACCCTGTCTCTACTAAAAATACAAAAAAATTAGCCGGGCGTGGTGGCGGGCACCTGTAATCCCAGCTACTCCAGAGGCTGAGGCAGGAGAATCGCTTGAACCTGGGAGGCTGAGGTTTCAGTGAGCTGAGATCATTCCATTGCACTCCAGCCCGGGCAACAAGAGGGAAACTCTGTCTCAAAAGAGAAAAGAAAACAAAACACTACACCAAATTTCAAAGACTTAGCACAAAACAGGAATGTCAAGTAGTTCAATAATCATTTTTATACTGATTCCATGTTATGATGGTATTTTAGGTACACTGGCTTTATTTATTAGTAAACAGGGTCTCGCTCTGTCGCCCAGGCTGGAGACCTACTGAATTCAGGTCATCCTCCCGCCTCAGCCTCCCGAGTTGCTGGGACCACAGGTGCGCACCACCACGCCCGGCTTTTTTTTTTTTTTTTTTGTAGAGATAGGGTCTTGCCATGTTGCCCAGGGTGCTCTGGAACTCCTGGGCTCAATCGGATCTTCCTGCCTGGGCCTCCCAAGTAGCTGGGATTACAGGTGTAAGCCACCGCGCCCAGCCGGTATACTGGCTTTAAATGATAAAAATGTTCTGAACATTCACCTTCCGGTGTTGGCGCACGGGGCGTGGCGCGGAGTGACCAGCCCTGCCTGGCTCCTTTCAGCAGCAGGCGAAGCGGCTGCAGCGCGTTCTTTAACTTTCCCAGAAAGAACAACAGTTTGTAAAGCGCGCGATCTCATGCATGTCCCGGCCAGCCCAGCAGCTGGGGGTGCAGGGCCACGTCCAGTCTGGGACGCTGCAGGGGCTTCGCTCCTGGATCCCACCTCCTGTGCGTCCCCGGGCGCGGCGCGACAGTCCGGGGTCCTGCACGCTGTGGGGAGCCGCGCTGGGGGCGCCTCGGAAGGACGCGGTTCTCCAGCCCTTTCCGTGCCTAAACAGGACCGAGGCTGAGTTTCTTCGCGTGGGTGGAAACTAAAGCGGGGTTGGGGACAGGGCGCTGGCCATGGGTGCGGTTCCAGGAGCGGGCGCGGGTCCCCGGGCGGGATGGGGGGGGGGGGCGCTCAGGCACAGCGGTGGGGCGAGGGCGCAGCGCCGGGAGCGCAGATCCCAGGGGCCCTCACCGCAGTAGGTGATGGAGGTGTGCAGCAGCACCAGGAAGCATTCCACAGGGCACACATACAGCAAAGCAGCACGCTGTGAGCAGTAAAGATAGGCAAGTTTGTCAATTAAACTTTCATAAAGCTGGGGGAAACAGAAGAAAACGAACCATAACAACAAAAAATAAAGCTGAGAAACATTTAAGAGATTTATTAGTTTGTTTTAAAGTAACAGAAGCAAGCCCATTACATGGTAACATAAGTTGCATATTTTGTGAGAAATGTTTTCCAAAGCAAAAAAAAAAAAAAAAAAAAACCGTGGGAAAGTGGTGGTGCTTCAGTTGTGCGAGCTGTCACGTCCTAACACAGCTGCATCCTCAGCCCGCTGTCCCCCCGCAAGACGCTCCCACTTCCAGTGAAAAGAGATCAATAACATCTCCTTATTGTCACGAAACATTCTTGACTCAACCTCACTCAGCCACTGACAGGGTCGTGAAAATCCCAGGGGTCCCTGGACGGCACAATTGAGTGCCACTGGTTTTTTGGAGAAAAGTGTGGAGGAGTACTGGGGAGTTTGGAGAGGGTCCAGGGAAGGCCGCACCGACCAGTGGTCTCAGGACCAGCGTCCGAAGGAGCAGCGAGGAGGTGGAGGCCGGGAGGGGGACGTAGGAGCTGCCGCATTCCCGGCAGAGGGAACTGCAAGTGTTGAGGACCCCAGGCAAGTGCACTGAGGAATGAAAGGCCACTGTGGCCAGAGCTGGAGGCAGCAGAAGAGAGGCCCTAGAGGAGGGCAGGGGCCAGAGCAGCAGCGAGGCCAGACAAGGGCTGCGGCCTAGAAGCAAAGGGATGCCATGGAAGGAGCCTCGGAAAGTGACATCAAATTTGCATGTTTAAAAGCCGCGCTCAAGAAGTGCCGTCAATCATTAGAGACAGGTATCAGCCAAATAACCACATAAATACTTTTAAAAAACTAAACAATAATTTGGTAATTTCTTGGCTATGACACTAAAAGCACAGGCAACAAAGGAAAAAATAAATTGGACTTCACCAAAATTAAAATACCTTTGCGCATCAAAGGACACTATCAGAGTGAAAAGACACCCCGAAGAACGAGAGAAAATATGTGTGAATGGTTTACCTGATAAGGGTTTAATATCCAGAATATAAAAAGGACTTCTACAATTCAACAACAACAAAAAATCTGATTCAAAGGACTTGAATAGACATTTCTCCAAAGAAGGTCTATAGATGGCCAATATAGAGGAACAGAGAGCTTATACTTACAACTCTCCCCCCGAAACCCACTGTGCCTATTTCTGTGGTATGGAACTATGAGGTCTCAACAGAACAGATGAATAGATCCCAGTTTCTTTTCATGGAAATTTCAGGCCTTGTCTTTGGGCCACTAAGGTGCTTATTTCCCAGACTAACAAAAATAATCTAGCTTTTTGTCTTGACTACCAAACACTCTGGATTTTTTTTTGAGATGGAGTCTCACCCTGTCACCCAGGCTAGAGTGCAGTGGCGCGATCTTGGCTCACACAACCTCCACCTCCCAGGTTCAAGCAATTCTCCTGTCTCAGCCTCCCAAGTAACTGGGACTACAGGCACACACCACCACGCCCGGCTAATTTTTGTATTTTCAGTAGAGATGGGGTTTCACCATGTTGGTCATGCTGGTCTTGAACTCCTGACCTCAGGTGATCCACCTGCCTTGGCCTCCCAAAGTGCTAGGATTACAGGCATGAGCCACCATGCCCGGCCCACTCTGGATTTAAGGACAGTTCTTCCTTCAATCAGCAGCCAAAGAGTCCTGATTCCTGATTCTAATTAAGAAGTTTAACTTGGTATTCTATTTCTGATGGAAGGATGGCTAAAAGAAGGGAGACTCAAACAACAGATGAAGGCAAAATACTCTGTACTGAATTTTCAACGTAATCTTAAATTCTATGTTTAATTGAGATGACCCAAATTCTTTTTTTTTTTTTTTTGATACAGGGTCTCGCTCTGTCGCCCAGGCTAAAGTGCAGTGGCATGATCTCGGCTCACTGCAACCTCCGCCTCCCGGGTTCACACCATTCTCCTGCCTCAGCCTCCCAAGTAGCCCAGGCGCCCACCACCACACCTGGCTAACTTTTTGTATTTTTAGTGGAGACGGAGATGACCCAAATTCTTAACTGCCTCATAAATACTGTTAATATATTGAAAGTTTTGCCCTAGGCTTTTATTAAAGTCAACTATATAGAAAAGGTTTCTCCTATCTTGAAATGTATTATTAAAGACATCATCCCCAATAATATTCCATATTCTCTGTTTAGGAACCCCAGTTGTTTTCAAATTCAAGAATGCAGAGAAATCTACTTGTTACAAAAGAGTAGAATGGATAATGGGCACCACATCCTGAAGTGTATTTTAATAAAAATTCATGTAAGATGGTTCAAAATTTCACTAACTACTTTAAAAAGAAATGCCTGGGAGACTTCTATTTCCAGCAGAGTGGCAGACTGATGCCTTGAACAACCCTCTTATTACAAAACTGAATACTCCACATGAAAACAAATCTATTCAAATGCATTGTTAAGCTGTGAAGAGAATAACGAAAGTTCTAAGAAACCAAAATCTAAATGAAAACAGAAGTCCAGGCAGGCACTGAAAACCTAAAAAAAAACAAAAACAAAAACTGAAGAGGCCAATTGTTGGCAAGCATGTGGAACAGCAGGAACTCTTTAAGCTGCTGCTGGTGGTGGAGGCCAAGACACTGTGCTCCCAGAACACGACACAGAAGCCTCCACACTGAAGCAGAGCACAGGTGCCCTGGAGTCTCCACCCCACCCAGGGATCCTCCAGCAGAAGCACGTTTGCCCCTGCATACCTGCAAGTCCCATATCCAGACCTAGTGTTCAGGGCCGTGGGATAACAGCCAAAAATAGGAAATCATTTTACTCATCAATGGAAAAATGGTGACACAGTCATATAATGGAACTCAACAATGACGATAAATCAATGTCTACCACAGACAAGAACATGGATGTGTTCTGTAATACTGAACCAAATAAGCCAGGCTAAATAGAATGTGCTGTATTTTATAGAAATCAAAACCAGGCAGAACAAATCTACATCAGGAACTGGGAAAGTAGCTATTTTGTGTGTTGGGGCAGCAGTGCCTGGGAGAGGCCACAGGTCAAGGCTACTGCTTGGTCCAGGGCGTGGCAGCCTGGTGTGCTACAGTCCATCTAGATGCACACTTATGATTCGGGCACTCTTCTGTATGTACATTAACATTTCAATAAAAAGCTTATTAAAACATTAAAACTTTCAGAAAAATCCACATTGCTTCAGTAGAAATTAGCACATTAACGTTTAAAAAATACATGTATACGGTGGGGGAAAAAATAGTTCAAAAGAGTACCCAGTGAAAAGTTTAAGAGGGAGTGACGCCAGCAAGGGGCTGATCAATAGCCCCTTGCACTCATCCCCTGACAAAGACACCCAAAGCAGCAAACAACTATATTTTGATGAAAGTCACTAAAAGAGAGCCCCAGAGTGCATCAAGGAGTAGCAGAAATCCAGTAGAGCACAGAAAACCAAGACAGTCACATAAAGGAGGGAAGGAAACATCTGGCCCCCACCACCCACTCCCCCAGAGGGATCAGCCTGAAGCAGAGGGGATATCTCCCTGCAGGGAAAAGGAAGCAAGAGGGGCCCAGTAGCCCCAGCACTCCCCTCAGAGAAGGAACTGACATTGTGCCCCACCCCCATGGACCAGCTGCTGCTGCAACGTGCCCTCCTGGACCTGGACCACTTCGGGAGCATGTCCCACCCAGGGGGAGCAGCCACCGCACCCTTCTTCCAACCTCAGGCTCTGTTGCTGTATATCACACCCACCTAGTGGCCCACCACCCCCGAGCCGCTGTTACACTGTCTTAGGCCATTTAGTGTGGCTGTAACAGAATACTTGAGACTCGGGGTAACTTATTTTATAAAAAAGGTTTATTTGGCTCACCCTGCTTGTGTCTGAAAAGTCCGAGATCGGGCAGCACAAGTGGCGAGGGTCTTGGGCTGCTTCATCTCATGGGGAAAGTGGAAGGCGAAACAGGTGTACGCAAGGGGCTCACATGGCAAGAGAGGAAACACGAGAGTCTAGGAAGCTGAACTCACTCTGATAACAATCCACTCCTGGTAACTAATCCAGTCCCATGAAAAGGCATTAATCTATTCATAAAGGATCTGCCCTGTGACCCAAATACCTCCCACTAGGCCCCACCTCCCACACCACCACATTTGGAATCAAATTTCAAATGGATGAAATTTCAAATGGCTGGTGGGAACAAATGATGTCCACATCACAGCATACACCCCACCTGTGGGGCCACGCTGCTGTGCCCCTCCCCTCCCAGCTGCCATTGTGCCCTGCCCCTTGGAGCCTGAGCTGACTTGGTGCCCTGCTTTCCAGGGAATCAGTGCCTTGGCCAGTCTGAGCAGTCACACCCCCCACTGCACGAGAGCTGAAGCGCTGCCCTGCTTCACAGGGAATCAGTGTCTTGGCTGAGCTGAGCAGCCACACCTGCCAGGGATGAGCCAACATGGCACCCCCATATCCTAGGAAAATGGCATTGGCTGAACTGGGGTACCTTGCCCTTCAGGACAAACAACTGTAGAACCCTGCTTCCTTGGAACTGGACTAGCTCTGGAGAATCTGAGTTGCCCAGGCACCTGCCTCCCCAGGGAGAGAAGTAGTTGCTGCACTGGTCCCTGCCCCTAAGGGCCCAAGCCACAGTAGGGCTCCACCATTCTGGGGTCCTTGCTGATGCTGCATCTGGCCTCACAGAGACTGAGATGCTGCTGTGTCCCACCACGGCAGGTTCCAGAGTCACTATCATGTCACTCCCATGTCCAGAGTCACTCCCATCCCCTGGGAGTTTACTTCTTAAACTCTTCGCAAAAACAGAGCGAGAGGAAATAATTCCAAACACATTTTACCAGGCCAGTATCACCTTAATACCTAAGCCAAACCAAAACACACACACACACACACACACACACACACACACACACACACACCCCAAACAAAGAAAAACTACAGGTCAACTTCTCCAATAAATTAAAAACTGATGCAAATATCCTAAAAAAATTTTAGCAAATAGAATTCAACAACACATCAAAAACATTATACATCGTGTTTCAGTGGGATTTATCCCTGGCATGCAAGACTGGTTTAAAATATGTAAATCAATCAATGTGATATATCACATTAACACAATGAAAGATAAAACGACATGGTCATCTCAATTGATGCAGTAAAAGCATTTAACAAAGTTTAGCAACCTTTCTTGATAAAACCTCTTAATAGTTTATGTATAGAAGGAAAGTTCCTCAACATAATAAAGACCATTTATGAAAAACCCACAGTCTAATCATAGTTAGTGGGGAACAACTAAAGCTTTTCCACTAAGATTGAGTACAAGATAGGGATGGCCAGCCTCATCACTTTTATTCAATAGAGTACTTGCAAGAGCAATCAGATGAGAAAAAAAGGCAACTAAATTAAAGAAGTAAAATTATCTCTATTTGCAGATGACAAGATCCTTTATGTAAAAAACTCCAAAGATTCCACAAAAAACTGTGAGAACTACTAAATCAATTCAGTTAAGCTGCAAGGTATAAACTCAACATATAAAAATCAGTTGCATTTCTATATACAAATAACCTAGCTGACGAAGCAATCAAGAAAATAATCTCATTTACGATAGCATCAAAGAAAAACAAAAACTTAGGAATAAATTTAACCAAGAAGGTGAGAGATGTGTACACTTGAAAACCATAAAACATTGATGAAAGAAATTTAGACATGAACAAATGAAAAGACATCCTATGTTTATGGATCAGAAGACTTAATATTGTTAAAATGTTCACACTACCCAAAGCAAATATACAGATTTAACACAATCCTCATCAAAGTTCTGATGGCATTCTTCACAGAACAGAATAAAACAATCCTGGCCAGGCACAGTGGCTCATGCCTGTAATTCCAGCACTTTGGGAGACCGCAGCGGGCGGATCACGAGGTCAGGAGTTGGAGACCAGCCCGGCCAACATAGTGAAACCCTGTCTCTACTAAAACTACAAAAACTGGCCAGGCATAGTGGCATGTGCCTGTAGTCCCAGCTACCTGGGAGGCTGAGGCAGAAGAATTGCTTGAATCCAGGAGGCAGAGGTTTCAGTGAGCCGAGATTATGCCACTGCACTCCAGCTTGGGCGACAGAGTGAGACTTTGCCTCAAAAAAAAAAAAAAAAAAGAAAAGAAAAAACAATCCTGAAACTCATATGGAACCACAAAAAACCCCAAACAGCCAACAGATTACTGTGAAAGAAAAAGTTGGAGGCATCACACCTCTTGATTTAAAATTGTATTACAAAGCTACAGTAATCAAAACAGTATGGTGCTGGCACAAAAACAAAAAAATAGACCAATGGAACAGAACAGAGACCTTTGAAATAAATCCAAACATATACTGTCAACTAATTTTTGACAAGGGCAAACAAGACAACACAATGGTAAAAAAGATAGTCTCTTCAATAATAGGATTTTCACATGCAAAAGAATAAAACTGGACCCTGATCATACACCATACACAAAAATCAACTCAAAACAGATACAAGACCAAAGACCCAAATAAGACCTGAAACCATAAAACTCCTAGAAGAAAACATAGGGGGAAAGCCTCTTGACATTGGCCTTAGCAATAATTTTTTGGATATCGCACCACAAGCCAGGCTACAAATGTAAACATAAACAAGGAGGACTGCATCAAACTAAAAAGCTTCTGCACAGCAAAGGAACAACCAACAAAATGAAAGGGGAACCTACAGACTGGAAGAAATATTTGCAAACCACATATCTGATAAAGTGTTAATATCCAAAAATCAGTAAAGAACTCTTACAACTTAATAGCAGAAAAACAACCCAGTTGAAAAATGGGCCAAATAGGAAATGACCAGTAGGAAATGGGGAGATGTACATTAAAATAATACAAAGTAGCAGACATGTAGGATGAACAAGTTAGAGATCTAGTGTACATCATGAGGGCTATAGTTAATAAAAATATATTGTCTTTGGGATTTTTGTTAAATAAGTAGATTTTAGCTGTTCCTGTCACACAAACAAAAATCTAACTATGTGAGATGGTAGCTATGTTAATTTGCTTCACTATAGTAACCAGTTTACTATCTATATGTATCCTTTAAGATCATATTGTCAACCTCAAATACATAAAATAAAATTTATTTTAAAAAGGAAAAGTTTGTCTTCAATCCAGAAAGAACCACTATTACCATTTTTTGGTGTTCCATTCCAAAATATCCCAAAAATATACAATTGTTCAATCAAATTTAACGTTAGACTTTATACTTGAACATTCAAAGTACGTAAGAAATTATAGAAAAGTGTCTGTGTGACTCCCTGTCTGTAGAGCACAGGCTTCATCTCTACTAACACACACACGACCAGTACCTTATACAGAGAGTCCTTGTTTGCCTTTAGTCTGACACCATGGGCGAGCCTGAGTTGGCCCGTGGTCCGCATTCCTGACCAGGTGTCTTTCTCACCCACTGGTTTCAACAAAGATGCTACTGGGTTATAGAAGGCTGGGATGGAAACAGGATACCAAGTTCGCATGAAGACAATATCTGAAAAGAGGTAATTTACTTTAACATTTTCAAAAGAAGATTCATATCCATATTGCGAAGAAACAAAGAACAAAACCTTCACTCCAAACTTCTCTACCTGGCTGCAAAGTATTTGAAGGGAAAGGTCGCTAAGGGAACTATTCTCATAGATCACAGAACTGTTACTGGGTGTGGCCAGGGGGCTGAAGACACAAGCGAATGGGCACACCGCATAAGACTGGGAGATCTAAGGCTGGAGCTGCTCAACTCTCTGGAGACCTGACTCCAGCCTCTCATCACACTGGCTAGAAGTCAAGCATGAATGGTAACACCCTGCCCTGAATACTACTTAAGACATTCACCGCTCATCAGCAGCTTATCCTCAAAGCTGGCCCAGAAAGCTCCTTCTGGAGCTCAGAGTGCTTTCTTGATCTGCCCCCTTATCCCAATGACAGTTCAAATCACAGCACCTTCAAATTTGGCCACGTCCAAGGCAGAATTAAACATTCCCTACAGGTGTAGCAAGATAAAAAAACACACACACACAAAATCATATACTTTATGCTTTACTTCTTACTTCAAACATACATCCTTGATTAAAGAACAAAAACAACTCACTGAAGGGTGATAAAATAATCAAAATGTATTTGCCCCTGAAAGTGGAATTACTACCTCAAAAAGAATACAACTCTTTCATTTTCCCCAAAATAATCATGTGAGTTCATGGGCATGCTCATCACTGCTGTCTGTGTGGAAGAGAAGATCGAAGAGGGATTTACTGGACTGAATTGGCCTAGGAAGCCTTTGCTGGCATCTCTCAGACTGGACTGCAGCCCAGATCCTTTTACTCAGATGCATGCACTTAGAACATGAAAACAGTAAGATAAATGCTGGTGGTATTATTACCTTATATTGCAAGAACATTTTATGACTTCCTAACTCTGTGTTTTCAATAGAAACATCCCCACTAATGAAATTGTCAATAAATGCTGCTCAAACCACCCTCCCCAAATACTGAAAAACAGTACGTCCGTTTCTCTGTACCCTTGCCAAGTTGTCTGCAAATGCTTTGTCGATTTTTCTACCGAGTTAGACAAACTTGTGATTTTTTTCCCTTTCTTAACACAAATTTAAAAAGTAGGAAACAAAACCTAGTGGATAAAATGACATATTTTCAATATGAGTTCTGTGGCAGTCTCACATGGAAGTCAGGAGTAACAGCCTCAATTCCTAAATAGCTGTTTACCACTGCTTTTTTGAGCATATTTAAGTAATACAGAATATAAAGGAGCAAACAAAATATGAAGTTTATAAAAGATTTCAAACACTTTTCTAAAAATGAGGCCCATATTTTAGAGGTATTTCATTCCTTTTCTCAAACAATATGGAGATTTATAAATATGAGAATATATAGATATACAGACCTTAATAAATGAAGTGGAAAACCAGTTAGCTTTAATTTCTTCACAATTTTTATGGATTTATCCAGATCAAGGACAACTCCTGTGGCAGCTATCCGAAAATCAGGCTAACAGGAACCCCAAAATTTGAAAATAGGAATAATATTAGCAAAAGAAAAACTTCAATTCTATGTGACACAATAAATTACCAAAGTGAATTTTACTTACAATTAGCTAAGAAAAACAAGAGAGACCATCTGAACTTGCAACCCAGTGGTTTGACAAAAGCAATCCAAAACTTTAAAGTTGGTAAGCCAAACTAACAAGGGTGACTTGAGGCTGGGCACAGTGGCTCATATCTATAATCCCAGCTACTTGGGAGGCTGAGGCAGGAGAACCGCTTAAACCCAGGAGGCAGAGGTTGCAGCGAGCCAAGATCGTGCCACTGCACTCCAGCCTGGATGACAGAGTGCGACTCTGTCTCAAAAAAAAAAAAAAAAAAGAAAGAAAAAAAAAGGCTACTTGAGTACTTTCCTGAGAGTGATTTCAGAGGAATGTAATTTTACTATAATGATTTATTTGGAACGAAATGGAAAAGAAAAATACAGTTGCAATGTTTAGGAAATTAAAATTTGGACCTCCAGGGAAGATTCCATCTGCTCATTATTCTGCTTTCTTCTCTGTTAAATGGGACCAGTAAACCCTGCCCTGCGTGACTGGTCAAATGAAAATGGAGTGAACAGACTGCTACCCCAGCACAGCTGCAGGGAGTCTTGTGTCTGGGTGGTCTCTGATGGCTCCTCATAACCTCATATAGTGCTTAGCACATGGTGAGCACTGCTTAAATACTTGCTTAGATAAATAAATGCAAAAGATGCACAAAAATAGGAAATGTACCATTATAATTCTTCCACCTCCCCTCCTCTAATCCCACACCCTACTGAAAAGGATGTACGAAGATTAAAAGCAAAGGGAAATTTACTTTATATTAATAAAAATGAGTAATTTTCAACTTAAAGTCTCATGTACATAATAACCCACATTCAGGATATATTTCTCAAACCAATCTGTAAAAGAAATCATCCAAGATAGTTACCATTATGCCACTGACAGACTGTATTGCCAAGAAACCAGTTCCCTGTGGAGTGATAGGGTCTTAAAGGAAAAGGAAAAAAAGAAATATAGCAAACCACAAACTTTAGATTCTAGTTTAACATACTGGATATGGACATTTAGATTTGGATATAGATTTACATATATACTCCAAACCACCTCCCCGCTCCCAGAAAAGAGAAAAATCTTAGGAGTGGAATTTTATGAAAGGAAAAGCACAAAGCTAAAATAACGCAGCCTGTAAGGTTTAATCTCGGCAATAGGCAAGTTATTGTAATCATATTTTACCCCAAAAGGCTGCTCCACAATGCATGTGCTGTGGGGTATACTTTAGAAGCCTTTGTCTTCCATTGTGGTCTTCGATATAATAGAGCGGGATGGTCTGAAACCTCCTCCACCCTACAGAAAATATGATTGGATCTCGGGACTTGAGGATTTTCTTATACCAGCGATGTTTCTTCAGATGCATCTGAGGGGGATGAGAGGGTAAGATGATTGATGGAGGGGAAATCCACAGAGCCTCAGGCACCAAATATGCAGCAAAAGGACCCACCTCCACGTATCCAACATTTCCCTCGCTGTTGCCCAAGCCACCCAGGATAATGGGGTAATGGGGGTCAATGTTCTGCACAAATTCACAGGGAACATTTTCAATCTCAACGCGGACGTACATCCCAGGTCGAAAACCCTCATACTGAACTCTGGCTTCATCATCTTGATCTTCAAATTCTGCATGATTCAGCTGTACATGACGGGGCGGGGGGCGGGGAACCTGTATGCTGTTATCTGTAATAAACATAGGATTAACATGAACAAATGAGCAATTTCTAAATAAAGGAACTGTGGACAAAATTATGTAGGCTTTATCCTATTAAAAATACTACACATTTGGCCGGGTACAGTGGCTCATGCCTGTAATCCCAGCACTTTGGGAGGCCGAGGCGGGCAGATCACATGAGGTCAGGAGTTTAAAACCAGCCTCGCCAACATGGTGAAACCCCGTCTCTACTAAAAATACCAAAATCAGCTGGGTGTGGTGGTGCCTGCCTATAGTCCCAACTACTCAGGAGGCAGAGGTGAGAGAATCGCTTGAACCTGGGAGACGGAGGTTGCAGTGAGTCAAGATCGTGCCACTGCACTCCAGCCTGGGCAATAGAGCGAGATTCCATCTCAAAAAACAAAAAAAAACAAAAAAAACCTACACATTTTACCTCTACAGTCTGCTCAGAATATGTCCCAACCGTTTTCTTCTCTCCTGCTCCAAGGGACAGCAAATGTAGATAACTGTGGAGCCCTGCGTGCTCAAACATTGGAAACATCCCCAGTCCACACCTTCTTTCCTTCCTCTCCAAACAATTCTTTCACACTTTTCTCTTGTCTTCAAACACCCACCACCACCCTCACCTTCACTCAGCTGATGGCTGTTTCCTGATTCACTCCAAAACCAAAAGAACCTCTATGGTCAACCCTCTACCAGGGTTTCCTCCCATATCCAGCCTTATCAGAGCTCTGACCTGGCCCATAGAGGAGCTATGTGTGGCTATTTAAATTAAAATTAATTACAATTACATAATATTAAAAATGCAGTTCCTCAATCACACTAGTCACACTGGAAGTGGTCCATATCAACCTGCGGCCAGTGTTACAATATTGGGAAGCACAGACGTGCATCTCCATGATCACAGAAAGTTCTACGGGCAGCTCAGGCACAGATGATTTGTCCATGCCTTTACTCCGGGCCACACATCACTTGCTCACTAGACACCATCCACTCTTCCTGGATTTTATTCCAACAGCTCTTCCCTCTGTTCTCTCTCTTATCTCAAAACCTTTTGATTCCACTTCTTCCACCAAAAACTGCTTCATTTCTCTGCTTCTCTCTGCAGCAAAACCCCACAAAAGTTTTCCGCAGTTGCAGCCTCCAGTTCCTCTGCTCCCATTCTCCTACATCCATGAAAATTGGTGCTTGCCAAGATTGCTGAAGGCCTCCACGCTGAAGGACTCCTCCAGTGGTCAACTCTGCCTTTACCGTAGTTAACACTGCAGCGGGATCTGAACAGTGCTTCGCCTCCATGTACAACTGGACTCCTGCGTGCCTGCATGCTCACACTGCTTCTCCCTCTCCCTCCTCGGCACTGCTCAGGCCTCACAGCCGCAATCGCCCCATCTCGCCCATGCCAGTCTTGCTCCTCCCAGTCACTCTGCACTCACTCCCTGGCCACCTCACAGAGTTAAGTGGCATCTACATGCTGACGGCTGTACATCTAAGTCCCTGGCCAGACCTGTCTCTCCAGACTTGACGCTCCGCTTGTCTGCATGATACCCAGCCAAACCAAACATCATCTTCCCAAAACTGCATCTGCAGACAGTTTCCTATCTAACCTGCAACAACCCATCCTTCCAGGAATTTCCAGCCGCCATCCTCATTTCCTCTCACACATCCCACATTCAGTCCACCAGGAAATCCTACTGACCCAGCTTCCAAATAAACTCTATCCAGGTTTGACTCTTTGTCTCATCTCCACTGCCAGCCCTCTGGTTTGTGCCACCGGACTGATCTCTACCAGACTGATCTCTTGGCAGAGTGATCTGATTACCTGAATGTCTCTCCTCTGCTCAAAACCCTCCAAGGACTCCCATTTCAGAGTGAAACATTCAGTCTTTTCCAATGGCACACAAGGCTCTAGGTAATTTTAAATTGTAAATGGTGTGAAGCAAAAACTTCAGAGTTAGCCTAGTCATGCCTTTCAAAGGTCAACACAGACTAGCAACCACTAAGCTAATGCCTAATCAGGAAACAGTCCTTTGACTAGATGAAGACCTAGGATGAAACTCCGTTTCACAAATCATACACCTAATCTGTTCCAGCTTACACAGGCACTCCTGGCCTCACTAACAAGACGCAACTCAGATGCTCACCATCAACTGTACACACGTTTCTGTGTCTGTCTCCTTCAGAGTCAGATCACCGCCTCCAGCAACCTGCTCAGCACCCCCAGGCAGGAGGGCCACACCATCTCCCTTATCTCCGCATCTGACCTTATACTCCACATGTCCTTCTGAACTCTGACCAGGATGTTTTGAGAGCACTTCCCCTGGGAGCTCTTGTGTGTCCATAAGCCACACAGGCCACTGATCACCTGCCATTCAAATCAGGGAGCAGCGATCAGAATAGGCAGCATTGGCTTGCACTGAAATGAACACACTGTCTTAGATCACTACATTGTAAAAGTCTCAAAAGTAGAGACCATGTCTCAGTCATTTCGGTTTCCTAATTCTTGTTACAAAATAGGTATGGATCTTTTTCTGGTGACCTTCTGACTGTAGAAACAATGAGCTCACTGCATGAATAAACACACTCACATGCATCTACCCAGGAGTCCAACTGAAAGGCACAGAAGCAGGATAGGAAGCAGGGACCCAAAGAAAGTCAGGGATTCCTGCACTATGTGATAGTCTTGACAAGGGGCTAAGAGGAACTGAGGTTTCTCACCTGTGCTTGTTTCTGCATTTCTCCTTTAAGATCATCAAAATATGTGCTTTCTCCTTCATCATATTCCACATCAAACATCTCCTTCAATTTTCTCTTCTTATCCAAATGCTTTTTCTTGGCACTTTCTTCTTCATCAGGGTCAATTTCTTTCTTGTTTCTCTATATCTTCATTCTTAAATTTCCAGAAGAAAAAATTTTGTGTATGTTTATGAAGGTCTTTTCTTTAAACATTAGATTTTTTAAAGTTCTATTTAAACAAAAATCTTAGCAAAAATCTGTTATCGTTATCAATAAAACAAAACAAAACACAACATAACCTTGGTCTCTGAATAACATGGTACTGCTACATGAAATTGTTACATCTGCATTACAATTAGCTGCTATTCCTTAAGCTGGCTGGGAACACAAACTAGAATAAAAATAACAGATATGTCCCTCACCCAGATGCTCCCAGACCCTGTTCTAAAGAAATATTAGGGAGAACAGGGACTTCATTCTTTTAAATGACACTTAAATTTAAAAAGAGGAGAATGATGGCAATGGTTGAATGTAAGTCTGAGAAGCTAAGACTTCTGTGAGTGAAAAATCACAGTGGACTTGGCAAATGACTATGGCAAGAAACGGTAGTAACTGTCGTCCAAAACTTAACAAGTAAACAAGAAAGCTTCTCTTTGGTCTCCACATCCCCACCCTTTAGGAAGGAATCTATCCATCCCATCTGCAATCTTCACACATCACAAGTAAGATTTGCATTTCTCAATATGGGCCTCTCTCAGAACACAATGACCAAGAACAGCCAGCTACAACAAAGACATACCTGAGTATCGGGGCCCGATTTTCCCTTGTGCACGTCCCCTGTTTCCAAGTCTTCAAAGTCACCATAGAGCTCCTCTGGGAAAAGAACACCCAAAGGCTGCTCTGTGAGCCTGGCATGCATGTGCTGCTGGCCCCACCCACGACAGGCCCACAATGCGCTCCGTGTTCCAAGCCTCATTCTCACTGCTCCCGTCACTAGACACACAGGCAAAACTTTGCACTAGGGAATGCTTCATAAAACGGTTAGTATTTCATCATCTGTTTAGGTAAACTAAATGGACCCAATCCACATTTCCGCACTTCATGTCAAAATCCCAATCTCAATTTTTCCAGTGTAGATAATGGACACTCTTTTGTTTCTTTTTTTCTTTTTTTCTGGAGACGGAGTCTCACTATGTCACTCAAGCTGGAGTGCAGTGGCACAATCTCAGCTCACTGCAACCTCTGCCTCCCAGGTTCAAGCAATTCTACTGCCTCAGTCTCCCGAGTAGCTGGGATTATAGGCACCTGCCACCAGGCCTGGCTCATTTTTGTATTTTTTTTTTTTTTTTTTTTTTTTTTTTTTGAGACGGAGTCTCGCTCTGTCGCCCAGGCTGGAGTGCAGTGGCGCGATCTCGGCTCACTGCAAGCTCCGCCTCCCGGGTTCACGCCATTCTCCTGCCTCAGCCTCCCGAGTAGCTGGGACTACAGGCGCCCGCTACCACGCCCGGCTAATTTTTTGTATTTTTAGTAGAGACGGGGTTTCACCGTGTTAGCCAGGATGGTCTCGATCTCCTGAACTCGTGATCCGCCCGCCTCGGCCTCCCAACATTTTTGTATTTTTAGTAGAGATGGGATTTCACCATATTGGCCAGGCTGGTCTCGAACTCCTGACCTCGTGATGTGCCCTCCTCAGCCGCCCAAAGTGCTGGGATTACAGGCATGAGCCACTGCAACCGGCCAATGGACACTCTTTATGAAAGACACAGAGGTCTATCTGTGTCCCCCAAACGAATAATTCAAAGAGTGAATGGAAAAGTCCCACGCTGATAACCAGTACATGTGAAAAGGAGTCTCAATGTAAGTTCAACACAACACAATCATGTAACACACCTAGGGGAAATTTTAGATTATATAAAACATAGCATTTAGATTAAGAGTAGAGCCCCAAACCACACCAAACCCATGGGAAGAGCTTATTCACTTATTCATTCCTTCATTTGTTTTTGGAGCTCTGGGCTCAATTATAGTTCCCACTCTTAAAAGAAATAGACAAGTAAGGCTGGGTGCAGTGGCTCACACTGTAAACCCAGCACTTTGGGGGCCCGGGAGGCAGAGGTTGCAGTGAGCCATAATTGCATCACTGAACTCCAGCCTGGGTGACAGAGTGAGACCCTGTCTCAAAAAAAGGATAACAAAAGAAAGAGGCAAGTTAAAACTCATTTGGGAGAGCAATATTTAGAAGGCTATTAAAACATTTTCACATAAGGGCCAAAGAACCAGGTAGACATTATAAAAGATAGGAAGCTCCTATTTGTAATAAAAGCAAAAAAGGATAAAATAGGAATAAACCTAACAAGAAGTGCACCGGAACTTTATTTTTTAAAAAAGAAGAAAAGCTTTAATAGGCTACCAAAGGACAAAAGGAATAGCATCACTACCAACACTCGTAAGTGCTCTCCACACCAGGCACTGCGTTAAGTACTTTCCTTGCCTTAACCACATTCTTCAACCCAAGGAAGTAGGTGTTGTAAATATTATATACTGAATAATGATACGTCCTCATTTGAAAAGAAAGATTCGACATCACAAATATGCCAATTCTCCCTTTAGCACAGTTACAACCCGAAACCACCACTAAGGATTTCTGGTCTAGAGAAGATAACACATTATACCCTCCTAAGAAATGTAACCCAAATTGTAGAAATAATAGACAGGAGAGGATCAATGGAGAATTCCAAAAGGTGGACAGAAAAAGGCTGCTGAGGGACTCTAGGACTAGGGAATGCATAGTAGCCAGGTGTCTCCCTGGACCTCATCCAATAGGAAGGTGACCCAGGCCCAGAGTTTCCCAACTCCCAACGTAGCAATAGAAGGCAACCCAGGCAGACTCAGTCCCTGCAGATCAAAGGAGATCTTCCCCACAACAAGAAAACCAGCTCCACACACCAAGACCACCACCATTCCCCACCCACCTAGCTGCAGCAGGTGGCCCAGCCTGGGGCAGCTCCCCTGTTCCCTCAGGTGGGCAACAGAAGGGACTGGTGGGAGAATCCCAGTGATACATATAAGCCAAACAGACCAAAATAACACCATGAAAGCTCTGAAATTAAATTGCCATTGCAATCACAGCCCACAAAGTAGACCAAGACCTACAGACTAAACCTAAACAGGAGGACTGCCTGCAAAAATAAAAAAAATTACATAGGCAGATGTTGGAACCATCTGACTCATCACTTGTAACAGCCAGTATAAAAATGCTTCAACAAGCAACTACAAATCCTATGGCAACAATCAAAGAACTGAAAACGTCAGCAAAGAAACTGAAGAAGAATCAAATGGAAATTACAGAAATATAAAATACAGTAAAAGAAATTTTAAAAAAATCTAACTGGATGGGCTCTATTGAGTAAAAGTGGAGACGACAGAGGAGAGAATCAGAGAAGCTGAAACCTGATCAACAGAATTCACCCGGTCTAAACAATAGAGAGAAAATAACCTGAAAACAAATGAACAGAGTTGCACGGACCTGTGGGACGATAACAAAAGACCACGCATTTATGTTATCTGAGTCCCACAGGAGACCAGAGCTGTGAAAGCATGCAAATAACTAATTCCTGAGGCTTCCCACATTTGGTGAAAGATATAAACTTACAGATTCAAGAAGCTGAGCAAACCTCAAAGTATACCAAAAGAAAGCAACACTGATTAAACTTTCAAAACTAAAAACAAAGACCAAAAATGGCAGAATGCCTGTAGGGACACACCAATTCAAATGCCATGGAGGCCAGAAGGAAGTGGCACAACATTTTCAAGTGCTTAAAAAAAACCAACCAAACAAAAAAACCAACCAAACAAAAAACTGTTCGCTGCAAATTCTATATCCCATGAAACTACCCTTCAGAAATGAAGAGAGAAATAAAGACATTCTCCGAGGAAGAGAATATAGGAATTTGTCACTGGTCAATTTAGACATGCTAAAAAGTGGCTACAGAAATATGTTCTGTCATTTCCACAATACAAAAAATTAAAACAAAAAAATCAAAATAAAAAATGGCTATAGAAAGTTCTTATGCAGAAGGGATGAATATGGGACTACGGGAGGAGGGACAAAGGAAAGACCAGAAATGTGGATACATACGCGAGACAATCCACAGTTCTTAAAATCACATTTGACGACTGAAACAAAAACTATACCACCACCTAATACTCAAGCCAGTGATTTATACAAGTGGAAAAGGTAAAGAGACATAAATGCAAGGCAGGTTTCCACACTTTGAAGTGGTAAATACTGGTACCAGTAGACTACTATATTACAATACACATATTGTAACATCCAGAGCAAACACTTTAAGACTATACAAAGAGATACACGCAACAACATTATACAGAAATAGATCAAGATGGAGGGAAAGAAAAAGGAAACAAAAAAGCAAATAATAAAAACATCAGACATAAGCAATTATGTAACAATAAGCACCTTAAATGTAAATGGTCTAAATAAACCAAAAGACAGATTGATGGAGAGCCTATAATAAACACATGGCCCAACTAAATACTGTTCATAAGAAACTTCAAACTCACTTAAGGACCTAAGTAGGTTGAAAGTAAAAGAATGGAGAAAGATATCCTGTGAAATCATTAATTTTTTAAGGAAGCAGGAGTGAATATATTAATATCTCATGAAGTAGACTTCAAGCAAAATAATTTACCAGAGCTGGAGAGGGTCTTCGTTGAATTTTAAGATCTAAAATTTCCTATGCTGCCTTGACATCTTTGAGCCTCACAGGGCCCCAAAGGCCTAGCCGTGGGTTTTCCTGTTTCTACCAGACACCCCCTACCCTGCCACCCAACAGGAAAGGCTCCCCACCTGGCTAGTTCTTTTATCAGCCAGAACAGTTGCACCTCAGCCTAAGAAGTTTCACTTCACCTGTCTGCCAGCCCATGAATTTATTCAAACAAGCCAATTGCATTCCCCCTCGGGAACCATTGGTCATTGTGTGCTCTTGTTACTATCAAGCCTGCCTGCTTCCTCAGCCCGCAGCCCTCACTCCGCTACAGAGTGCGGTGCCCATCTGACCCTGTGTGGCATGCAGTGTCCTCCTCTGAGCTGTGGGTATATGTGACTAAAACACTGCTGTTAATCTCATCCATCCACGCCAGGTGTCGTGTTCAGCCATCTCCTACACTTTAGGGCAGGGACCCCTCCTTCACCAATGGGGTGAAAAGGAAGTGACCATAACAACTGCTTAATGACAAAAGGATTGACCCACCAAGAAGACATCTACTTCAACATCCTCCTCTTAGCAACTGTTAAAACTAGGCAGAGGCCGGGCACAGTGGCTCATGCCTGTAATCCCAGAACTCTGGGAGGCAAAGACAAAGGATAGCTTGAGGCCAGGAGTTCGAGCCTGGGCAACATAGCAAGGCCTCATCTCTCCAAAAAATTTTAAATTTAGTCAGGTGTGGCGGCACACACCTATAGTACCAGCTAGTCAGGAGGTTAAGCCAGGGGAAGTACTTGACCCTAGGAAGTCAAGGCTGCAGTGAGTCATGTTCGTGCCACCGCACTCTAGTGTAAGTGACAGAGTGAAACTAGGCAGAAAAGGAGCAAGGATTTACAAAAGATCTGAACAGTCAACCAGCAAAATCTGACATCCGTATAATACCCCACTCCCCAACAGCAAAACACACACATTTTTAAAGCCAATAGAAATCTACCAAGATGAAGTACATTTGGGGCAATAAAAGAAATCACAGCAAATCTCACTGTGCGCCCCTCTGTGTCGGCGCCGGCGCCGTGCCCCTCTCTGCGCCTTCTTTTTTCACCATGGGGAAGCGTTTGGGGGCCTCTTGAGGGACCCCCTAGATGCTTCCACTCAGAGCCCCCAAAGCCGGGGAGCCTCCACTCCTCTGTCTGCAGTCTCCCCTGTCGGTTCTCGCTACCCAGGGTTCAGTGGCCTGGGGGCTGACGGAGGGGGTCGCCTCTGCCAAGGCCCCTCCCGGCGCCTCCCTGGCTCATCCAGCCCACCTTCCTCCCACGCTGGCTCACGCAAAGTGCTCTGGTCACCAGGAGCCCTTCCTGACCAGCCCCAGCCCCTTCTTGGCCTTCGCCCACCTGGCCTCCCCTGGAGCCCTGACCTGGGTGCCAGGCCTGCTGGGTCCAGAGCCCACCCCGCCCTGAACAACCCCGAGTCTCAGCCACCCTCAGTTCTTACCCTTTCACAGCTGGGGAGTGGAGCCTGGGCCTGCGCCTCTCCGCGCCAGCGCCGGCACTGTGCGCCTCTCCGCCGCTGTCCGCCTCTCCGCCGCGCCGCCGCTGTCCGCCTCTCCGCCGCGCCGCCGCTGTCCGCCCCTCCGCCGCTGTCCGCCCCTCCGCCGTGCCGCCGCTGTCCGCCTCTGCGCCGCTGTCCGCCTCTCCGCCGCTGTCCGCCTCTCCGCCGCGCCGCCGCTGTCCGCCTCTCCGCCGCTGTCCGCCTCTCCGCCGCGCCGCCGCTGTCCGCCGCGCCGCCGCTGTCCGCCTCTCCGCCGCTGTCCGCCCCTCCGCCGTGCCGCCGCTGTCCGCCTCTGCGCCGCTGTCCGCCTCTCCGTCGCTGTCTGCCTCTCCGCCGTGCCGCTGCTGTCCGCCTCTCCGCCACGCCCGCGCCGGCGCTGTGTGCCTTTGCGAGGGCGGAGCTGCGTTCTCCTCAGCACAGACTTCGGAGATACAGCGAAGGCGGAGCAGTGTTCACCTCAGCACAGACCCGGGCGGGCGGGCGGGCCGGTGGCACCGCGAGGGCGGAGCTGCGTTCTGCTCTGCACAGACCTTGGGGCACTGCCTCGCTTTGGGACAACTCGGGGCCGCATCGACGGTGAATAAAATCCTTCCTGTTTGCAGCCCTGTTTGTGGTTGGTGGCAGCGATGGACACTGCAGCCAGCCAGAGCGTAGAAAGGCATCGGGGTAAGTGCACTATCCAGGCTGCACTGCGGGTGGCCTGGGACGGGTTGGGAGCCCTATCTCAGGCGTCACTGCCCGTCTTGGGTGGCTGGTTGGGTGTGCTATCTGGGGCTGTGCTGCCTGCACCGGGGGGTGGTTTGGGGGCCCAAACCGGGGCTGCACTGCCTTTGGCGGGGAGCCGGTTGGGGGCACTATCCCAGACTGTATTGCTGGCAACAGTGAGGTGGGCTAAGTGTGCTATCCAGGGCTGCACTGTGCGGCTGTGGGGGGTGGTGTGGCGGTTTCGGGTTGAGGGCGCTATGGGGTGCTGTAATGCCCATGGTGCAGGGAGGCGGGGCGGTTTGCCTACGTTGGGTGTGCTATTGGGGGGGGGTGACACTGCTGGTGGTAGGGGGCAGGGTGGGTTGGGGGCCATATCAGGGGCTGCACTGATTGCTTTAGCTAGGATTTCTGGTACTATGTTAAACAACAGTGGTGACAGGGGGCATCCTTATCATGTTCCAGATCTTAGAGGAAAAGCTTTCCATTTTTCCCCATTCCATATGATTCTAGCTGTGGGTGTCTTTCCTGTAGTTTTTATTATGTTGCGGTATGTTTCTTCTGTGCCCGTTTCTTTGAGGATTTATAGCATGAAGGGATGTTGAATTTCATCAAATGCTTTTTCGGTTTCAGTTGACGTGATGATACTGTTTTTGTCGTTTATTTGGTTGATATGATGTATCACATTGTATGTTGAGTGACCCTTGATCCCAGGGATACATTGCACTTGATCATGATGAATTATCTTTTTAATGTATTACTGAATTTGATTCAGTGGTATTTTGTTGAGGATTTTTGCATCAATATTAGAGATCCTGGCCTGTAGTTTCCTTCTTTGATGCTTTTGTCTGATTTTGGTATCACAGTAATAATGGTCTCATAGAATAAGTTTGGAAGTATTCCCTCCTGTTTTTCAAAATAGTTTGAGCAGGATTTGTACTAGGTCTTTAAATTGTTTGGTGTGAAGCCATCAGCAGTGAAGACATCAGTTCCTGGGCTTTTCTTTACTGGGAGACTTTTTCTGATGGCTTCAATCTCATTACTTGTTACCAATCTGTTCTGGTCTTGGATGTTTTCGTTGTTTAACCTAAGTAGGTTGTATGCATCTAGGAATTTGCCAATTTCTACTAGGCTTTCCAATTTATTGGCATATAATAGCCAGTTATGATCCTTTGAATTTCTGAAGTATTAGTTGTAATGTCTCCTTTTTTTAATCTGTTGATTTTATTTATTTGAATCTTGTCTCTTTACTTAGCCTGGTTAAAAGTTTGTCAATTTTGTTTAGCTTTCCAGAAAACCAACTTTTCGTTTAATCTTGTGAGGTTTTTATTTCAATTTTGTTTCTGCTACGATCTTATTTATTTTCTTATTTTCGGTTTAGTTTGTTCTTTACTAGTTCTTTAAGATGTATTGTTTACTTGAAGTTTTTCTTTTGTTTGGATGGTAGGCACTTATAGCTGTAAATCTCTGCCTTTGTACTGCTTTCTGCATAACAAGTTTTGGTATACTGTGTGTTCATTACCCTTTGTTTCATGAAATTTTTGAATTTCTGTCTTAGTATCTTCATTGACCCGCTAGTCATTTATTCAGGAGGGTAGTGTTTAACTTCCATGTGATTGTATTATTTCCAAAATTACTTTTCTTATTGATACCTATTTTTATTCCTTTGTAGTGAAAGAAGATGGCCACAGAGACAGACAGCAGCGTGGTCAGAGTGGTAGGAGCCGGCCATCAGCGAGAGCTGCTCCATGCCTGGCTGCTGGGTGCTAGAGTCTGCGGCCCACTGGCTTGCCTCACTGTGGTTGGTGGTGGCGGTGACAGAGACTGCAGCATGACCAGAGTGGTAGGACAGGGGCTATCCAGGGCTGCACCTTTCGCAGTGTGGGGTGGGTTGGGGGCGCTATCCAGGGTGTCATTGCCTGCATTAGGGGTACTAGTTGGTAGCACTGTACAGGGCTGCACTGCCCACGGCAGGGAAGGTGGGTTATGGGTGCTTTCTGGGGCTGCAATGCCCATGGAGGAGAACAGGTTAGGGCACTATCGGGTATACGCTACTGGCGGCATTGGGGGACAGAGGTGGGGGGTGCTATTGAGGGCAGGACTAGCCGTGGAGTGGGGGACGAGTTCGGTGCTATCAGGCTGCACTGCTGGTGGCGGTCAACAGAGTTGGCATCCAAGGAAGGAGTGGTTCTCCTCTCCCTGACTCCACACTCCAGAGGGCGACCCACTCTTGGTCATACTGGAATGCGGCAGGGCACGCAGCGTTTGCATGGGAATCCTGAGCATGGCAGAGCCCCCACACCCACCGTGGTTCCTGGGCCTGTGCACTCTGGGTCTGTGCCTCAGAGGCTGCCAGGCACCCCTGGGGACACCACGGGGGACAGGGCCCTGTGCGTGGAAGCGTCCGGAACAGGAATTGGCACCTGGGTGCAGAGGGCTGGCTGGGTCTGAATTTTTCTGCTTCTCCTGCTCCCCAAGGAGTGCAGCCCCAGTGGGCCCAATGGTTCCTGTGGAGTGGGGAGCTGCGTGCTGTGGTGTCTCCAGCACCCACCCCAGACCTCAGTTCCCGGCCAGCTTGGGCCAAAAGGAGAGGCTGGACTTTGGAGGGTGGGTGTGAGTGCCTTTGCTGAAACTGGCCCCTGCCACCCAGTGGCCGGCATGACAAGGTGAGGCTCTAACCCTTCCACCCCTCACATCTTCCTCTAGGCTTTTCTGGCTTTGCCCGCCCAGCTGCTCCATGCCAGGAGGAGGAGGAGACACCTAGAGCCTGCGACACCACGGCTCGCCTCGCTACAGGTGGGTGGCAGTGACGGAGACTGCAGTGCACCAGAGCGGTAGGAGAGCGACCACGCTAGGAGGGCAGGCGGCTGCAGCCAGGGTCAGGCTTACAGCAATGGACGGGCTGCAGCAGTGACCAGGTGGTAGGAGCCTTGTAGGGAGGGCTGGTGCATTGGCAATGGGCCTGGCTTTGCCCTGCGCCTGCCGTGGATCTGGCCCTGTACTGCCCTGCCTTGCCCTGTACCTGCCCTACTGTTACCTGGACTCTCGGCCCTGTCCTGCTCTGGTCCCATCCTGACCCTGTCTTGGCCCTGTGCTACCCTGTCCCTTCCCTGGTCTTGCCCTGGCACTGGCCCTGCCGTGAACCTGCACTGGCCTGACCTTGGCTCTGGCCCTGCCCCTTGTCCTGACCCTGGTCCTGTCATGGCACTGGCCCTGCCAATGGTCATGGTCCTGCTCTTGTTCTGGCCCTGACCTGGCCTTGGATATGTCCTGGCCCTGCTTTGGCCCATCCCTGCCCTGGCCCCACCATGGGCCTGCCTGTTCTGCCCTCTCCTGGCACTGACCTTGCCCTGTCATGGCCCAGTGGTGCCATTGCCCTGCCTTACCCTGAGCTGCTTGTGCCTTGGCCCTGCTTGGTGCTGGCCGCTCCCTGGACCTGCCCTGGACCTGCCTTGACCCTGCCTTGGCTTTTGCCGTGCCCTCACTATGGCCTGGCCCTGGCCCTAGCCCTGGTCCTGCCATATCCCTGGCCCTGCCCTTATCCAGGCCCTGCCCCTGCTGCTGCCCTGGCCCTGGCCTGGAACCTGGTCCTGTCAAGGACCTGCCCTGACTCTGCCATGGCCCTGGCCCTGCTCTGCCTTGTTCCTGGCCCTGACCCAGACCCAGACCCTTTCCTGGCTCTGCACTGGCCTTTCCCTGGCCCTGAGCTGGCAGTGGTCTGCCCCTGGTCTTGCCATTACCCTGCCCTGCTGTGCTCTGGATGTGTCATCACCCTGCCCTGGCCCTACTCTGCCTTTGACCCTGCCCTGGCCTTACCTTGGCCCTCACCCTAGTCTTCGCTAGACCCTGCTCTGGAGCTGGCCCTAGCACAGACCTGGCCCTGATCCTGGCCCTGGTCTTTGTCCTGCCATAGCCCTGGCCCTGAAGTGAACTTGGAGGTGTTCTGGCCCCGGCGTAACATGGCTCTGCATTGGCCTGTCCCTGCCCTGCCACTACCATCGCCTTGCCCTGCTCTGCCCTGTCCCAGTACTGACCTGGCCATGCTATTTCCCTGCCCTACCCTGCCTTGGCTGTGCCCTGGCTCGGTTCTGGCCCTGGCCCTGGCCCTGCCCTGGACATGCTCTGACACTGCCTCAGCCTCGGCACTAGCCTGGCTCTTCTTTGGCATCAGCTCTGCTCTCTGTGTGGACCAGCTCTTGTCCTGTCCTGTACTGGCCATACCATGCCCTGCCCTGCCCTGCCCTGACTCAGCCCTGGCTCAGCCCTGGCCCAGCCTTGGCCGTGGCATTGCCCCTGGTCCTGCCATATTTCTTGCCCTGTCCCTACCCTGGCCTTGGCCCTGACCCTTACCTTGCCCTGGCCCTGCCCTTGCCCTAACGCAGCCCCTGGCCCTGTCATGGCCCTGCCCTGGACCTGTCCTGGCCCTGGCCCTGCCCAGGTCTTGGCACTGGCCTGGCCCTGCCCTGCCTTGGCCCTATGCTTTCCTGGCCCTGCCTTGCCGGCCCTGGCCCTGCCTTGGCCCTAGCCTAGCTTTGACCCTGCCCTGGCCCTACCTTGGCATTCACCCTAGCCTTACCTGGGCACTGTGTTGGACCTGGCCATAGCACAGACCTGGTTGTGGCCCTGGCCCTGCCATGGCCCTGTCCCAGACCCTAGCCCTGCCAGGTACCTGTCCTGGCCCAGCTCTGGGCCTGGCTTTGTCCCTGGTTCTTAGATGAACCTGGCCCTGCCCCTGCCCTTGCCCTTGCCCTGGCACTGGCCTTGGACATGTCCGTGGTCCTAACCCTGGCCCTGCCCTGGAGCTGCCACTGTCTTGGCCCTGCCCTGGCTCTGGCCCTGCCCCGGCCCCAGCCATAGACCTGCCCTGGTTGGTCATGCCCTACCTTAACCCTGTGCAACCCTGGGCCTGCTCCACCCTGCCCTGGCCCTGCCCTCCCTTTGTCCCTGCCCTGACCCTGCCTTGGCCCTCACACTGGCCCTAGCACAGACCTGGTCCTATGTGTGGCCTTGGCCTGGCATTGACCCCTGCTCCTGACCCTGGTCCTGCCATGGCCCTGGCCCTGCCAATGACCCTGGCAGCCATGACCCTGGCCCTGTCTTGGCCCTGGCCCTGAACTGGCCCTGCCCTGACCTGGCCCTGAAGTGGATTTGCAGGTGTCTTGTCCCTGATTTAACCTGGCCCTACCATGGCCCTGTCCCTCCCCTGGCTCTGTCCTGGTCTTGTGCTTACCCTGACCCAGACCTTGGCCCTGCCCCAGCCTTGTCCTTGACCTGGCCATGGCCCTGCCTCTGCCCTGGACCGGCGCTGGCACTGGCATGGACCCTGGCCCTGGCCGTTCGCTACTTAAGGCCATACCCTGGTCCAGCCCTGGTCCTGACCCTGTCCTGGCCCTAATTTGGCCTGGCTCTACCTTGGCATGCTATTCTGGCCCTATCCCTGACCCTGTCCCTGTCCCTGTCCTGGCCCCAGCCCCATTGCTGGTCCTGCCATGGCCCTTGTTCTGACATTGCCCTTTCCTGGTTCTGGCCCTGGCCCTGTCCCAGCCCTGCTCTGGCCCTGGTCTGAACCCTGGCCCTGCAATAGACCTGCCTTGGTCCTGCCCAGACCCTGGCTCTGGCCCTACCTCTGCCCTGGCCATACCCTTGCCCTGGCCTGGACCCCGGTCCTGGTCCTTGTCCTGCCCCAGCCATGGCCCTGGCCCTGCCCTGCCTGTGCCCTGTTCTATCCTGGGCTGGCCCTGCCATGACCTGGTCTTGCCATTGCCCTGCCCTAGCCTGCCATGCTTGTGCCCTAGATCTGCCCCGCTTGTGCCCTAGATCTGCCCCGGCCTTTGCCCCGTCTTGGTTCTAGCCTTGACTCAGCCCTGGACCTTCCCTGACCTCGCCTCAGACCTGGCACTACCCTGGCCTTGCCTTGGCATTTGCCCTACTCTCTCTGTGGCCTGGCTCTGGTCCTGCCCTGCTCTGCTCTTGTTCTGTCCTGGCACAGCCCTGGCCCTGGCCCTGCCATATCACTTGCTCTCGTCCTGCCCTTATGCAGACCTGACCCTGCCACTGCCTTGGCTTTGGCCTGGACCTTGGCCATACAGTGACCCTGTCATGACCCTTTCCTGGCCCTGGCCTGGAACCTGGCCCTGCCAAGGACTCGCCCTGGCTCTGTCATGGCCCTGGCCCTTTCCTGGATTTGGATGTGTCCTGTCCCTTATTTGCCCCGGCCCTTCCCTGGCTCTGCCATACCCCTTCTCTGGGGTAGGGCCAGGGTCAGGACCAGACCAGGGCAGGGTCAGGACCAGGGTAGGGCCATGGTAAGGCCTGAAGATGGGAAGGGCCAGGGCAGCGGCTGGACCAGGGAAGGATCAGGGCCAGGGATGTAGTAGGACTAGCGGCAGAGCCGGCACTAGGGCTGAACCAGGGCAGAGCAGGAGAGATTGCATTAGGCTATTACATAAAATTTTTATTTTAGATTTTTAAGATAACTATATTAGTAGTAATGTCTATACTATATTGTTTGTAATAGTAATAATATTTGCAGTAATCACTAAATTTTAACTAATACTATCTTTGCTTCCAGTAGTGTTCTATGAATATAATATAATTTTATCAATATGTAAATATGTGAGGCATTGATTCTCACAATAATTCTATGTGCTAGGTACTTAAAGCATCCCCATTTTCCAAATATAGGAAACAGGCATAAAGAAGTTAAATACTTGGCCAGATTACTCCTGTAATCCCAACACTTTGGGAGGCCAAGGCAGGCAGATGGCTTGAGCTCAGGAGTTTGGAACCAGCCTGGGCAACATTGTGAAACCCCATCTCTACTAAAAATGCACAAAAAGAACTAATTTAAGTTTCTTGTAGGATTCTGGTTATAAAACACTGGTCAAACACACAGGGCATGGATAGGGCAGGGCCAGGGACAAGGTCAGGCCAGGAAGGGGCCAGGGCCAAGGCAGGGCCAGAGCTGGACTTGGAGGTGTCCTGGTCTGATTTGCCCTGCCCCAACGTTGGCCCAGCCCTGCTCTGGCACGACCTGTCATGCCCTGTCCCTGGCCTGAGCATTGGCCCTGTCCCTGTCCTGCTTCTGGCCCTGCCCCGGAGTTGACCAGGCACTGCCATGGCACAGTCCTCCATTGCCCTGCCCTCGTCTGCCCTGGTGCTACCATGGCCCTGCTTGGGCCCTAGCTCTGCCTCGACTCTGGACCTGCCCTGACTCTGCTCAGCCCTGGATCTACCCTGACTCTGCCTTGGTGTTGCCCTCCCATATCTATGGCCTGGCTCTGGCCATGCCTTGCACAGGCCATGCTCTGCCCTGCATGTCCCAGCCTGGGCCCAGCCCTCATCCTACCATATTCCTGACCCCAGCCATACCCTTGTTCTGGCCGTGACCCTGCCGTGGCCCTCTCCTGGCCCTTCCTTGGTCCTGCCCTGCCCTTCCATGCCCTGGCCTTGCCCTCACCCTGCATTGGCCCTGCACTGGTCCTGCCCTGCCCTGGTACTGCCTTGCCCCGGCCCTGCCTTCTCCCTGGCCTTGCCCTGCCCTGGCCTTGGCTTTGCCTTATCCTGGTCCTGGTTCTGCCCTGACCCTGGCCTTGCTCTGGATCCTCTCTGGTTCTGCCTTCTCCCTGGCCCTGTCCTTGCTCTGGCCCTGTCCCTGGCCCAGCCTTGACCCTGACCCTGGCCCTGACAATCCCCAGGTCTGACACTGGCTATGCTTGGCCCTGGCCCCTCCTTTTGGCCCTGCCCTGGCCCTGCCTTGGCCCTGTGCTATCTTAGTCCTGCCCTGGCCCTGAACTCGCCCTGGCCCTACCCTCACCCTACACTGGCCCTGGCCTACCCTGGCTTTGCCCTGCCCTGGCCCTGCCTTTGGCCTGCTCTGGCTCTGGTTCTGCCCTGGCCTTGCCCTTACCCTGGACCCTCCCTGGCCGTGTTTTTTCCATGGTCCTTCTCTGGCCTTGCCCTTGCCCTGTCCCCTTTCTTGTCCTGCCATGTTTCTGGCCCTGCCCTGTCCATGTCCTGGACCTGACTCTGGCCCTGGACCTCCCTGTCCCTGCCCTGCCATACTCTGGCCCATTCTTGCTCTACACTGACCCTGTCCTGCCTTGGCCCTGTGCTACCCTAGCCCTGCCCTGGCCTTCTGCTGACCCTGATCCTGCCATGGCCCTGGCCCTGCCATGTCCCTGCCCTGGCCCTGGTTCTGCCCTGCTTCTGGCCCTGGCCTTGGTCCTCTCATGTCCCTGGCTATGACCCTGCCCCTGGTTTTTCTCTGGCCATGACCCTGCCCCAGTTCTGTCCTATCCCTGGCCCTGTCTCAGTTCTCTCCTAGCCCTGGCCTTTCACAGTACTTTATGCTTAGTAAGGGCTCCATAGTGTCTGTGAGTTGAATGTTGTGTTCATAGTATCTGCCAAAACAGAAAGAAAAAAACCAAAATATTTTGATAGGAAGTTAAAGCTTTGTATATAATATGCCTTGAATTGTAAGTGCTTGTTATTAGTTGTATTACATATAGGTCATGGTTTTGTACACATAACTCCAAACCATTGATACTGTTAAAAGAATATATGAATATATGAAAGAATGTATAAACGTAAGAATGTATGAGTATCTAATGACCTTTCCAAATTAATTTTTATTTTTAGCTCTATTAGATTTTTCTCAGTGTAACAAATGTTTATTCCTATGTAATTAAGGGCGTATTTCCTGTACAGAATATTCATATTACCTAATTGAAAATTATATGATACAAAAATATAATACTATTTTTAGGCCAGGCATGGTGGCTCATACCTGTAATCCCAACATTTTGAGAGGCCAAGTTTGGAGAATCATTTGAGTCCAGGAGTTGACCAGCCTGGGCAACATAGTGAGACCTTGTCCTCATTAAATAAATAAATAAATAAATAAATAAATAAATAGGTTGGGCACTGTGGCTCACATCTGTCATCCCAGCATTTTGGGTTGCCAATGCAGGAGGATTGCTTGAGCCCAGGAGTTTGAGACCAGCCTGGGCAGAATAGCAAGACTCCATCTCTACAAATAATAAAATATTAACCAGGTGTGGTGGTGCCCACCTGGGGTCCCAGCTACCTGGGAGGCTAAGGTGGGAGGTTTGCTTGAGGCTGCAGTGAACTGTGAATGCACCACTGCATTCCAGCCTAGGCCACAGAACAGGACCTTGTCTATAAATAAAGAAATAAGTAAAAACATAAATAAAAATAAGTAAAAAGAAATATAAGTAAATATAAATATAAATACATATAAATATAAAAATGCATACATGAAAAGAAACAATTTTTAAATTTAACATCACTGAGGGCATCCTATCCATTTCATTTCATGATTCCATCATTTCACTTAGATGAAATGATAAGATGACTTGAGATGAGATGAAATGACAAAGTGATGAGATGAGATGAGATGATGAGATGAAATTTTGAGATGAAATGGTGAGTAGAAATGATGAGATGAAATGATGAGACGAAATGACAAAGTTGAAAAGAAATTGAAAGGAGATGAGATGAGATGAAATGAGATGAAATGATGAGATGATAGATGAAATGATGAGATGAAATGAGATGAAATGATGAGATGAAATGAAATGAAATAATGAAATGATATGAAATAATGAAATTGAAATGAGATGAGATGAGATGAAATAATGAGATAAAATGATGAGATGAAATGAGATGAATGATGAGATGAAATGAGATGAAAAATGATGAGATGAAAAATGAGATGAAATGAAATGAAATAATGAAATGAAATAATGAAATGAGATGAAATGAAATGAAATAATGAAAGGAAATTATGAAATGTAATGAAATTGAAATAAGATGAGTTGAAATGATGAGATGTAATGATGAAATGAAATGATGAAATGAGATGAGATGAAATGAGATGAAATAATGAGATGAAATGAGATGATGAGATAAGATGAAATCATGAGATGAAATGATGAAATGAAATGAAATGATGGATGAAATGATGAGATGAAATGAGATGAAATGTAATGACATAATGAAACGAAATAATGAAATGAGATGAAATGAAATAATGAAACGATGAAATAATGAAAATGAAATGGAAATGATGAGATGAGAAGAAATGATGAGATGAAATGATGAAATGATGAGATGAGATAAAATGAGATGAAATGATGAGATGAAATGAAATGATGAGATGAGATGAAATGAGATGAAATATGATGAGATGAAATGACATAATTAAATGAAATGATGAAATGGAATAATGAAATGGAGATGATGAGATGAGATGCAATGAGTTGAAATGAGATGAAATGATGAAATGATGAGATGAGATGTGATGAAATGATGACATGAAATGATGACATAAAATGAGATGAAATGAGATGTAATGATGAAATGAGATGAGATGAAATGAGATGAAATGATGAGATGAGATAAAATGATATGAAATGATGAGATGAATGATGAGATGAAATGATGAGATGAGATGAGATGATGAGATGAAATGATGAGATGAACTGATGAGATGAAATGAAATGAAATAATGAAATGAAATTGAAATAAATAAATAAAATTGAAATGAGATGAGATGAAATGATAAGATGAGATGATGAAATAAAATGATAAAATGATGAGATGTGATGAGATGAAATGATGAGATGAGATGACATGCAATAATGAAATGAAATAATGAAATGAAATTGAAATGAGATGAGAAGATACGAGATGAGATGAAATGATGAGATGAAATGATGAAATGATGAGATAAGTTGAAAATAGTTGATGAGATGATGAGATGAAATGATGAGATGAAAAGATGAGATGAAATGATGAGATGAAATGAAATGATGAGATGAAATGAGATGAAATGAAATTAGATGAAATGTAATGAGATGAAATGAAATGACATAATGAAATGAAAAAATGAAATGAAATGAGGTGAAATTAAATGAGATGATGAAATTAAATGATGAAATAATGAAATGGAAATGATGAGATGAGATGAAATGATGAGATGAATGATGAGATGAAATGAGATGAAATGATGAGATGCAATGATGAGATGAAATGATGAAATGATGAGATGAGATGAGATGTAATGATGAGAGGAAATGATGAGATGTAATGAAATGAGATGAATGAGATGAAATAATGAAAGGAAATTGAATTGAGATATGAGATGAAATGAGATAAAATGAGATGAAATAAGAAATGATGAGATGAAATGATGAAATGCTGAGGTGAGATGAGATGAAATGAGATGAAACGATGAGATGAAATGAAAGGATGAGATGAAATGATGAGATGAGATGAGATGAGATGAAATGAGATGAAACGAGATGAAATGATGAAATGATGAGATGAGACGAGAAGAAATGATGAGATGAAATGAGATGAGATAAAATGATGAGATGAAATGTAGTGAAATGAAATGAAATAATGAAATTGAAATGAGATGAGATGAAATGAGATAAAATGAGATGAAATGAGAAGAAATGAGATGAAATGATGAGATGAGATGATGAGATGAAAAATGATGAGATGAAAAATGATGAGATGAAATGATGAGATGAAAAATGATGAGATGAGATGAAATGATGAGATGAATTTGAAATGAAATGAAATAATGAAATAATGAAATGAGATGAAATGAAATGATGAAATGATGATATTGAAATGAAATTGAAAGATGAGATGAAATGATGAGATGAAATGTTGAAATGAAATGATGAAATGAATAGATGTGACATGAAATGATGAGCTGAAATGATGAAATGAAATGAAATGAGATTCAATGATGAGATGAAAAATGATGAGATGAGAAATGATGAGATGAAATGATGAGATGAAATGAGATGAGATGAATTGAGATGAGATGAGATGAAATAATGAAATTAGGTGAAATAATGAAATGAGATGAAATAATGAAATGAAATTGAAATGAGATGAGAAGAAATGAGATGAAATGTAATGAAAGGAGGAAATGATGAGATGAGGAGATGAAATGATGAGATGAAATGAATTGAGATGAAATGAGATGAAAAATGATATGAAAAATGATATCAAAAATATGAGATGAAACGAAATGAGATTATATGAAATGACAAAATGAAATAAATGAAATTAGATGAAATGAAATAGTGAAATGAAATAATGAAAATGAAATGGAAATGAGATGAGATGAGATTTGATGAAATGGTGAGATGAAATGATGAGATGATATAAAATGATGAGGTGAGATGGAATGAGATGAAATGATGGGATAAAATGATGAGATGAAATGAGATGAAATGATGAGATGAAATGATGGGGTGAAGTGATGCACTGTCACGTGTGTGTCTACTCTTTTTCCCAAGCAACAAAAATTATAATTCATTAATTTTAATTTTATTATTTAAGAATATTCTTAAGAGTTGAAGGAAAAACAATATTGTAACATAAATTGTAACATTATGGGTTACAATCTAAGTATAAATAATACATAAATATATTAAAACTTACAAAGAATATGTTTTGGAATCGAATATACCATGCTTCTGTGATGACAGTTATTTCATGCTGGTTGTCATAATTTTACATGAAAAACTAATGAAAAAATGTTTTTAACTGTTTCTAAAAATAACAGTTTCCAAAACAGTTTTACATTCGAAATATGAAAAAGATGTCTTTGTGTTCCTTAATCTGATGAGATTTTCACACTCTGCACATGATAATTGTTAGATTTTTATTGTGTTGATAAATTGTATATCAAATAAAAAATGTTATTACCTCTTAAATTAGGATTTTTAGGTGATATAGTCAGAAAGGAAGGCAAGTTTTTATAACTTTTTCTAAATGAACTTTCTAAATGCCTGAGTATTAAAAGATAGCATGTCTATAAATCACAATGTATATATTACTGTATGACCTAGGACCAATCAAAACCGTTACCTCTGATAACATTATATTGTGCCCAGTATAAAATAGATATAATAATACCTCAAACTTAAATCCAGGCATTGTTGAATGTCTTAAGAATATGCAGCAAAGGTGCTTTTAAAAATACAAGCTAGTGATTGTACCAAATTTGTAAATCACATAGGATAGTGGGTCATTTTAAGAATATTAGTTATTTCAATCTGTAAACATGGATGTCTTTCCTTTTTTGTGTTTTCTTTAATTTCTTTCATTAATACCTGTCATTTTTGTTGTCAAAATCTTTTACTTCCTTGGTTAAATTTATTTCTAAGTACATTTTTGTAGCTATTGTAAAAGGAATTGCTTTCTTAATTTCTTGTTTCAGCTAGTTTACTATCAATATATAGAAATGCTACTGATTTTTGTATGTTGATTTATATCCTGCAACTTTATTAATTTCATGTATCACCCTAAGAAGCTTTTGGTAGAGTCTTATTTTTTTCCGTGTATAAGATCACATTGTCTTTAAACAGGGACAATTTGACTGTCTCCTTTCCAATTCAGATGTCCTTTATTTCTTTCTCTCACCTAATTGTCCTGGTTAAGACTTTCACTATGTGAAATATGATTGGTGAGAATAGGCATCCTTTTCTTGTTCCAGTAAAATCTTTTTCTTGTTCACAGTAAAATCTTTCACCTTTTCCACACTCAGTATGATCTTAGTTGTAGATTTGTCCTTTATGTCCTTCTGTGTTAAGGCATATATTTTCTATACTAAATTGTTGAGAGGTTTTTTGTCATGTAAGAATATTTAATTTTGCCAAACGCTTTTATTGTGTTTATTAATTTAATCATATGGTTTTCAGTATATATCCAAAGGAAAGAAAATCAGTATATCAAAGAGTTACCTGCACCCCCATGTTTATTACAGCACTATTCACAATAGCCAAGATATGGAATCAACAAAAGTGTCCATCAACAGATGAATGGATAAAGAAATGTGACATACATATATAATGGAATATTATTTAGTCATAATAAAGAACAAAATCCTGTTATTTGTGGCAACAAGAATGCAAGTGGAGGGCATTATGTTAGGTGAAATAAGCCTGGCATAGAAACATAAACACCACATAACTACATGTTCTCACTTATGTATGGAAGCTAAAATTTTTAATCTCATAGAAGTAGATAGTAGAGTTTTGGTTACCATATCCTGGAAAGAGTAGGAGAAAGAAGAGTATAAGAAAACTGTGGTTAATACATACAAAATTACAGCTAGAGAGAAGGAAGAAGTTCTAGTTCTCTACAGCACTGTTGGGTGACTGTAGTTAACGGGAATTTATTGTGTGTTTTCAAATAACTAAAATAAAAGATTTTGAATATTCTCACTGCAAAGAAGTAATACATGATTTAGGTAATGGATATGATAATGACTCTGACTTGATCTTTACACATTGCATAAATATATCAAAATATCACGCTGTACCCCATAACATGTACATTTATTATATGTCAATTAAAATAAATTTAAAAGACAAAAAATGAGGTAAAGGTAAATGTACAGAATTTAATTACTTCTTCTTCTATAAAACCCGAGTCAGTACCAAGAAGAGTCAATTTATTAGTTTTCTAAAATAAAAAAAATCAAAATCACCAAAAAAGAGCAATATCCAAGAAAACATTGAAAATGAAACACAACATTTAGTAAGAATAGAAAACTTGGGCACTGTATCACCCTGTTCCTAGATACCGATTTACTGATGGCCATTTAAATAGAATTTTATTCTATCTAATTCATTTATACTCCCAGAGTTCGAAATTACATTTTACCTACAATAAATGAGATAACACTTGTAAATTATATGGTACTCTGCCTAACACACGTTAATAACTCAATACATGTTAGCAATAAACTTTTAGTATAGTAGTCAAAGTATTAATTTCTCACATTGCAATTTCCTTCAAAGACATGAATACAACCTTTCTAATGACTCCTTGTTCATCAAGATACCTCTTCAAATTATTCTATTTGTTTCATTCAGTATATTACCTGTGTATACCGATATTACACTCTTTTCTTTTTTTGAGATGGAATCTCATTCTGTTACTGATGCTGGAGTGAGGTGGCATGATCTCGGTTCACTGCGACCTCCACCTCCCAGGTTCAAGCGATTCTCCTGTCTCAGCCCTCCAGGTAGCTAGGACTACAGGTGCATACCACCATGCCTGGCTAATTTTTGTATTTTTAGTACAGTCAGAGTTGTACATACAATTTTTATGAAAAAAATTATCAAGTGCATAAGTTCATAATAGAAAAACCAATAATACTCCAGGCACAAGTTAGTACTAAAGAAATTATGTTGAATATTCTCTAATACAACATGCTTTTTCCCTTCATGAACAATTTGTGTTTTACTGAGAAGAGTCATTTTTTATGGTAGACATTAGACTACAGATGAATATGTACTTTAAACACTCTTAGTTGCTTTCTTAATTTTATAGCTGCTGCTTTATGCTTCTGTTTATTTTCATTCTTTCCAATGTCTACATTCTAGTAAATTTGAATATTTTAATCCAAGTTTATATACCATTTAATATTGCTTGTATAGTTTAGTATTTTTAAGACTCAAAAAGGTTTACAGAAAGAAGAAAAAGATCAACATGTTATTAATCATTTAAAGATCATTTTAAAATCTTTGACCTTTATATTTTCATGAATAAAATGTTAGTAGTTATTAGTATAAAATAATTTATGTCTTTTGGACTTAGCATCCAGTATTTCTTTTTTAATAAAGAAAATAATTATTCTCTTGCAATGTACTATGTTTATCTGGGTTTTGAAAAGTGATGTTTCCTAATATGAGAAAGCCATTTACATTTTTAAATCTACAAAGGCAAATGGAATGGTACTAAATTATTTACATAATAATGTTTAGATGGTGGCCCTTATAACATTCTTTCTATACTTCCTACAGAGTTGGGGATATGCAATCCTAGAATATTTCTGGGAGCTAATCATTTTGCTTGATGAATGAAACAAGACTTTTAAATAAAATTAAACTTTCAAATTATCCACGTAATGGGCCTGTCTTTTAATTCAATGGATATGGAGCATAATGAATTATCCCCTGTTCATTGGGTAATAAGTTCTCATTCTTAACTTATAATACTCAAAATGTCCTTTAATTTTTAATTTTTGATAGTCATATCATTATCCCTAGGTATTTTAGCTTCTATCTTAAATTCTAAAATGATTTTGAAACAGGAGAAAGTATTCTTTATTACTATATGTATTAAACATCATGGTTTTCAAATTTAACTGCAAATGTATCTTTTCATTGCTTCTTGATGACACCCTTCACCCTATCCATATTGTCACTACCAAGTGGTGATTACTTTTCAGGTTCACATACTTATTCTTTAGAAAAATCTTCTCTGTGCTTTATAAAGAATATGATTGTTGGCATTCAAAAGCCAGTGAAGTATACATTATTAGCCTGTTGCATAACTCATTTCTTTAAGAAACTAACTAATTACCCACATACTTATGTTTTTATTTCCTCATTATTTCTGGAGAAAACAAATACTGCTAACATGATATTTGTAAGAGAGAAAAAAGTCTTTTCTTGAAAAGTGCTGTCATTGTAGTACTAACTTATAGTATCAACTTCTTTATCAACTCCTTATACACTTTTTATTCTGAGAGAAATAAAAAAGCTAAAAGTGAAATGACTTTTTTACTCTCCATATTATAAGCACCCATCTTGGTCATTTAGGGTCTTTATAGTTAGGGTAAGTTGTGTCATACCGAGGTTACAAAATAAAAAATATTTTGTCTCTTTGGGCCTTTCCTTATTCAGTAATACTGTCAGTTTGGCTTTTTTTGTAGGTCAACTTATTGAACTCAGTATTCTGAAATAATATGTCTACTATCTTTTGATAAGCATTTAAAATATCAGATTTATTGTTACTCTTCTGCTTTTATTGGGCTGGAAGAATAATTGTTTCACTCCACAAAAGCCAAGTTGCAGAGAAAAACACATAGACATTCAACTGCAAAGCAGAGAAACTTGACTATTTTCTGCAATTTTAAAGTGTATATTGAATAAAACCATCTTTTTATTTTCTTTTTTGCTCACTGGCAAATATTAACAACATCAAGTGTATTATTATAATGTTATCTAGTTAAAAATCTCAAAAAGTTTTCATAATTACCATTTAAAAATATATAAATAGGTGACCTAATGTTAATTTTTATTGTCTGAGACCATGTCTGTTATTTCACTCTTTAAATTCAGTTAGTAATGCAGAACCTAGCACTTAGTAGATACTCAAAAATTATTTGCTGAATAAAAAAAGGTTAAACATAATATATACAAAATGTACTGGAAAAAATGCACCAAACAATTTTGTTATACCAGTTTAATGTAAATATTGCCTTTAAAAGATAATATAGTTTTCAGGTGTCTACAGTGATTTTGTAATATTTGTGCACATATAAAATAATATTTCCAAAAATGTAATCCAGTGGGGAAATATACTTTCTAAATTCTAGATTTATAATTTAGGGTTTAAATTATAAAATCATTAAATAAGACACAAGTGAAATATAGTCAAATATCCCCTTGGAAAAAAATTAAGTGGCCTCTAAAGTGAGGTATTAATATATGTAATTTTACAATCCTCTAGTGATAGAATTAAATACATCACCAAATTGATTATCTCCTACAGTGTTAAAAGAGAAGCACTAACAATGCCAGTGACCATGTAACATGGATTTAAGCTACAAGTCATAGAAATGTGATGAGAAGCCTCAGCGCTGTAAAACAGAGGGTGGAGGAAAGATTTTCCTCTCTCAAATGAGCTTTGCGAGGTATACTTCTTGAAGGATAGAAGTTGAAGTGTTCAGGACTTTTATGTCTATTCTACTTTGGCTTAGTTTACATGATTCTTAGTTTATTAGCCTAGAAATGGCCAAGAAAACTTAAGGTTCAATAATTAGTTATAAATATGAAATATCCCCAATTTTTAAGACAAAAACAACTTATAAATGTATTTGTCTGTAAAAATTGTGTATATTTTTACAGAACATCTATTTCTTTCTTTTTTTATTTTTTAATTATACTTTAAATTCTAGGGTACACATGCACAATGTGCAGGTTTGTTGCATATGTATACATGTGCCATGTTGGTGTGCTGCACCCATTAACTCATCATTTATATTAGGCATATCTCCTAATGCTATCCCTCCCCCCTCCCCCCACCCCACAACAGGCCCTGGTGTGTGATGTTCCCCTTCCTGTGTCCAAGTGTTCTCATTGTTCAATTCCCACCTATGAGTGAGAACATGCGGTGTTTGGTTTTTTGTCCTTGCGATAGTTTGCTGAGAATGATGGTTTCCAGCTTCATCTGTGTCCCTACAAAGGACATGAACTCATCATTTTTTATGGATGCATAGTATTCCATGGTGTATATGTGCCACATTTTCTTCATCCAGTCTATCATTGTTGGACATTTGGGTTGGTTCCAAGTCTTTGCTATTGTGAATAGTGCCGCAATAAACATACGTGTGCATGTGTCTTTATAGCAGCACAATTTATAATCCTTTGGGTATATACCCAGTAGTGGGATGGCTGGGTCAAATGGTATTTCTAGTTCTAGATCCCTGAGGAATGGCCACACTGTCTTCCACAGTGGTTGAACTAGTTTACAGTCCCACCAACAGTGTGAAAGTGTTCCTATTTCTCCACATCCTCTCCAGCACCTGTTGTTTCCTGACTTTTTAATGATCACCACTCTAACTGGTGTGAGATGGTATCTCATTGTGGTTTTGATTTGCATTTCTCTGATGGGTCTATTTCTTTAAAACAAAAGGAGGGGAGTCTCTCATTTACATTAGTTTTTTTCATAGCCTTTTGAACTTTGCAATTTCTATGTTTCAGAACCGATTTCTTACAGTTTTTCTATGCTAAACTCTGTCCTAGTCAGTTCTAGAGTGTATGAAGAACCAAATGATGTAATTGTATGCGACCTGGCTGTAGTGGAACAAATTTGACTCTAAAGTATGCAGGCTCCAATTTTCCTGTGTGGTTTTGGTAAGTATTCCTTACATAGGTTTTTTCTTTGAAAATCTGGGATTGAGAGGTTGATGAATGAAAATTAATCCTTTCACTTTGTTGTATATAGGTTTGCAATAATTAAGTCAGAGTGGAGTTTTAAGGTCATGGAGGGGTCTGATGACTTACAAATGGGCTCTGATTGGGCAACTACTCATCTGAGTTCCTTCCATTTGACCTAATTAAGCTTGTGAAATTTACACTAAGCCATGAGCTCATCTTTAAAAAGTTTTATTAAAAGATTTTCAGCTGTTCCAAATGGGACTTATTAGTGGAATGTGTTTTAAAGGATCATATCAGATGAATGAAAGGTATTTGATCCTTCGTTTCCTTAATAATAAAATGATGGTTTGGAAAAATAGGCTGCAGTCTAACCACAGTGCTATTATTAGGCTTTCATGTTAAACATAGGTCTAAGCCTAAGTATGTCAATACAACAAATACTTACTGTTTCATTTCTAGTAATGAAAAAAAAAAAAACAAGTCTTTCTGGCATAAGGATGATTTTCATCTGGTCATTTTGAAACATTTTTGTAAAATAAATTTACATCTATAAAGAACATTTTTATTTGTAAGGAGGGGTATGTCTCTGTGCACTGGAAGAGAGGGAGGACTAAATCACTGGGAAGTCTTATGATAAAGAAGCCATTGGCTTAAATCAGCAAAGCAAGCCGTCCCTTGGTTTAAGGTGTTTTTCCTGGCCATCCTGTCTTGACTAGAACTTTACCTACACCTTCCTTTTTGGTTTAGGCAAATTATAGTATCTAAAACTGAAGTCTCAGCTCTGTGTCTTTGAGATATAAATGTTCTACCATGTCTTCTCTGGAACCTGATAACTATCTATCTCTTTAAAATGCAAGTCTAGGGAGATGACTCATCAGAAAAAGAAGAAAAAAGAGGTATTTGGAAATTGTGCAAATTAAAGCAGCCCCTGATGCCAAAGTCTACACATTCCTGAGTGAGTCAGTTCTGGCCAGTTCTAGCTGGATCAAGAGAGCTCTGCTGGGCAGGCCTGAAGAGCACCTGGATGGCAGACACCTGAGGAGCCAGGTGCCTGAAACTTCCTCCACCTACTTGAGGAGCGCCAAAGCCCAGGTGCTGGCTGGACAACCCCTTCTGGCTGCCTAAGCAGATGGCAGAAGAAGGAAACAAGGTCAGAGGCGGAGTGTTGAACCCTGCCTCCCAGGTGGGTGGAAGATGCCTGTCGCCAAACTAGGGCCCAGCTTGCCAGGTGAGATGGGTGAACTGGTGATCCCCCGAGAGAGTGGACGTCAGAACTACATGTTCCCGGACTTCACCTCGGCCAGCGAAGGAGAGAGAGGGTTAATGTTAACTGCACGAGGCTCACTCTAGCCTTAAATTCTGTAATTCAAACCCTTCCCTTGGAGACAAAACAAACATGACAAGGAATTCTGAGGTCAGGGGAGACGAATCACAAGTTCCCTAGTGGGAGACTGAGGAGGCAGTGTCCTTCCTGCCCTTGGTCTACTGGCTAAGAACCTTCCTTAGCCTCACCTTTGCACATTGCACTTTCAGCTCTGTTTGCAATTTTCCTCCTTTAGTGCTGAGGGAATCCCAGTGTTCGATCCTGAAATCTATAGGTTCCTAATGGGTGGTTAAAAAAAACCTCAGCGAGAGAAGCAGAAAATGTTTCCTCTTCCTGAAAAACTGTAGAAAGGCAGGCACCATTCTGGGTGAGGACATGGTCCTTGCAAATGTCTTTGTGTTTTTTTTTTTTTTTTTTTGAGATGAAGTTTTGCTCTTGTTGCCCAGACTGGAGTGCAGTGGTGTGATCTCTGCTCATTGCAACCTCCGCCTCCTGGGTTCAAGCAGTTCTCCTACCTCAGCCTCCCAAGTAGCTGGAATTACAGGCACCTGCCACCACACCTGGCTAATTTTTTGTATTTTTAGTAGAGATGGGGTTTTGCCATGTTGGCCATGTTGGTCTCGAACTCCTGACCTCAAGTGAGCCCCCCGCTTCTGCCTCCCAAAGTGCTGGGATTACAGGAGTGAGCCACCGCATGCAGCCTGCAAACGTCTTTAAAGACAGCATGTTTCAGAGGCTGTGACAGTGCCCTGTGAACATGCCAATTCTCGCAGTCCCGGCAGCTCTGAGGAGCAGGCTCGGCTCCTTGCCAGGCTGATGGTACTGAAACTCTGCTCTCCAAGACATAACCTGATGGCCGTGCAAGATTTCTTAATCGACTGTGGACCGTGAGAGTCTGCATCTCATTTTAATTAAGATGGGAAAAGAAAGAACAAAAGAGCAACTCCCAGGTTATAGAGAAACTGGATTTTAGTATAATATTCAAGTGTAACATTGCTAATAATAACAAACCTTTCCCCTCCCAAACGGTAAACACTTGCACTGCCTATTATACAAAAATTCAACCACCCTCTCTGTTCCCCCGATATCTCCTGCCCAGTGACCCCCGTTTCATGCGGCCTCATGAGCCTGGCCAGTGGTGAATGGCAGTTTCATGGGCATGAGACTCCACGTGAGTGGGACTCAGCTGGGACCCCTCTCCACGTGGGAGCTGGAGAAGCCACCCTAGTAGCAGCTTAAAGTGTCCGTGATGTCCCTGCTGCTGAGCTAGGGGCCGCCTCTGAGCTGGTATCGGGGTGTGAGCTGCTGCTGGTAGTGGGCTCTGCCCTGAGTGCCTGGTGGCTGGTCAGAACGGCAGGCACACATGGGTGACTCCCCAGGAACTCAGGCCACCTCCCCACCACAGCCCTGCACCGTGTGCTCCAGGCATGTGCTGAGTGCCTGGTCAATCACCAGTGCCCTATTGATCCCAGTCTCCAGAGAGATCATTTAGTGTCACTCCACAGAGGGGGAAACTGAGGCCCAGAGAAGTAAGGTGACTCTCCCCAGTCACAGGGCTGGTCAGCAGTAGGATGGGAGGCTAGTCCCTTGCTGTCTGACTCCCTGAGCCCACCCATATCCCAAGGCAGCCAACCTCTGCCCGCCCTGGTTCAGGACCCGACTGGCTCCTGTGGTGGGTGATGTCTATCTTCCTGGCCTTTGTGCTCCCAGCCAACTGGGATGGAGCCTCCAGCTGGCATGACATGTTGTAGCTATGGACAGAAGAGTGGCTGTGAGGCTGCCAGGAATCTCACCAGGGCCCCCTCCCAGGGCCTGTCCAGAGTGAGGTCTGGGTACCCCAGGCATTGCCAGACCACAGGATCTGATGTTGACCAAGAGGCCATGGCCACAGGCTTTCTGAGGCTGGCCCCCAGGGAGAGTTCAATCCCACTATCCCAATTCCTGCCCTGGCCTTACCTCTCAGTCTCACCGAGCCGCTTCATGGTCCCAAACCAGGACCCAAAGTGCTGCTTGGGCTCAAGGTTGTAATTATATGCAGCCAACTGGAGCAGCGGACCTCCTTGCTTACTTTGAATTCCTGGGTCCAGAGGGAAAAACTGGGTGGTGACAGGGACTGGACAGGGATGCCACAGGGGCCCTGTGGGGGTGTTAGATTGGGTGGTGGCCAGTCTTTGCTCATAGGGGACACCCTTCTCCTCTCCAGTCCTGTCCCCACCTGTTCTCAGAGCTGGCTCAAACAGCAGCTCCTCCAGGAAGGTGTCCTTGGTTTCAACCTGGTACTCCCACCTGCAGGTCTTCCTGGAGTGTCTCCTCTTTCTCTCTGTCTCCCCATAAATCTAAGATGAGGGGGATGGATTTGCCCACCGCTACTCACCGTATGACTCTTGTGAGGTTGATCAGTCTCCCCTGGAAGGCCAACAGCTGAAGTCCATCAGAAAGGGTCCTCTGGCCCAGAGCCAGCCCCTGCCCACCCCTGTCATGCTGCACCCAGGGTGCAAGCCCCAGATCAGGTCTGGGTGACAGGAGGGGTATAGAGGGGCTGAGGCTCAGGGGCCTTCTAGCCTAACTTGTCTGGAGACAGTTGGGGAAACTGAGACCCCAAGCAGGTAGGTATGGCTCCGAGAGATTATTCTCGTTAACCTGGAACATTTTTGCAAGCTGTTAGGTATAGGAAGTCTGTCACAGGTAAGAGAAATGCTTTTTGAGAGCATGAGAGACAGCAGGGCTGTGACAATATTGAAACACCACCGTGCAGATTCACCAATTGCCACCACCGGGAGCCCCCTGAGAGTCATTGCAGATGCACAGCCCTCCCCTGCAACCCCTGGACCTCCCCATGGTCTGGCACCTAAAGGGTTATGCCTCATGGCAGGAATCAGGGCCCTCAGGATGCCCTGCCCACTCCAAGGTCTGCCTCTGCTCTGATTGGTCACTGACATTCAGATTGTCACCCAAATATAAGGACGTTAGCAGAAAGACTCATTCAATACAAGTGGACTCAGACATAGATAGGAATTGAGTTGCAAAAAGCCCCTTTTGTTTCTTTTATTTTGGAAAAAACTTTTATTGTGAAATTCACATATATATATATGGAAAAAAAACTGAATCAATGCAAAAGGATAGACAATGAACAAATGAATTCCCCTTCCACTCCAGATCCCCAACTCAGATCCAGACCTCCTGAGCCCACTTCCCCCATCTCATCACAGATCCAGACCTCCTGAGCCCACTTTCCCCATCTCATCACAGATCCAGACCTCCTGAGCCCACTTTCCCCATCTCATCACAGATCCAGACCTCCCCCACTTTCCCCATCTCATCACAGATCCAGACCTCCTGAGCCCACTTCCCCATCTCATCACCAGTGATTTCTTGGGCTCTGCATTAGTTTTCTATTGCTGCTGCAGCAAACAGCTACAGACTCAGTGGCTTCCATTTCCGTCTTATAGTTCTGGTTGCCAAAAGTCCTAAGAGGATCTCACTGGGCTAAAGTCAAGGTGCTGGTGGGGCTATGTCCCTTCTGGAGGCTCAAGGGATGAATCAGGTCCCTGCGTTTTCTAGCTTCTAGGGGCTCCAGCTTCTGGGTTTGTGGCCTCCTTCCTCCATCCTCAAAGCCAGCAACAGCAGGTGAAGTCCTCGCCCATCGTGCATCACTCTCCCTTCTGCCTCCTTCAACTTTTTTTTTTATATTTAGGGGGAACGAGTATAGGATTCTTACATAGTCAAAAAGCTCCTTATAGAGAAGCTCAGAACTTTCAATACAGCTTTGCCTTTTTTGCCATTTTAATTTTCCGTTTAATTTAAATGTATTCTCTCATTTGACCTTCATACTCTGTGGAGAAATATTCCTGTTTTGGCTTGTATTGACAAGTTGTTTTCACACAGCCCCCACATCACCCAACCAACCAGCAGAGATCCTCCTTCCCAAGAAACAGATAAAGAAACTGAGGCCCAGGAAGGCTAAGAGTCCTGCCAGGATTATTCACCTTTCAAGGTAAGGAGCCAGTTCCAGACCTGGGTTTGTGCAGCTCCAAGCTCCCCCGTCTTTCTACAATGCTAGATTTAGACTAAAGCAATCTAGCAAGTGTGGCCACACAATGGTCAAGTTGGATTTAGATGATGTTCTCTATAAATCCATTCTCCTCTCCCGTGTAAGCAAGGCAAAGTACTCCAGGCCATGGGGAGTCCCTGAAGACTCGATGAACTGCAGTGGCCACATCAGGAGGTTGCAGGTTAACCAGAACTCACCGACACAGCAGGAGAGCAGCTTGGAACCTGCAACCTAGCCAAAACCTAGTGCCTTGGATTGGGGGAGAAAACATGCAGCCATTCCTCTCTCTCTGCTGGCTAGAGGGGATTCTGGCTTTTCCTGCCAGAGCCACCCCTTTCCCTCCTCCTAAAGTTGATGGTGGTTCTTTAAGGAAAGGGAGAAGTGCACGGTGTGATAGGGCAGGAAGAGAAGAAAACGGAGGAGAGGAGGGGACTTTCCCATAAGCAGGCAGAAGAAAAGGCAGCTGTGGTGTGTGATGGACATGGATGCAGTGGTGTCCAATGTGGGGTCAGCCCTAGAGGAGAGACAGAGAGAGAGACAGAAAAGTGAGAGAGTCCTGACCCTTATTATTAACATGGGATCTGCCTGCAAATGCTGTTTAGGGTCATCGCCTCTTCCTGTACCACTATTTTTGAGAGTGATGCTCCTGAGCCCCACGACCCAGTCAAATTTGATGTCCCCTTGAGCCAGATTCAGTGCTGGGAGTCCAGTGTGATCTGCCTGGATCTTGCTGCATTGAGAACAGGCCAGATCTTGACCCCAATACAGGGGCTGGATATGAACAGGCAACAGCTGAGTTTCTGAGTCAGAAAGACTTGGTTAATTGCTAATTGCTTAGGCAAGTAATTTAACTTTGTTGCATCAGATTCCTCAGCTACAAAATGCACATGACAGTACTTATTCCTCCAGGTTGTGGGGAAAATGGAGATTCTAAGCACGATGTCCATTTCACAGAAAGATACCAATTTGGTGGCTTATTTCCTTTCTACCTTCAGAAGTGGCTATCCCTGCCACCCAAACAGACCCTTGACTCTCAAGTGGATGTCCCATTTGCACAGGGGGAGACCTTACAGCCTACGTTGAGTCTATACTTACCACTTAGTGAGCATGGTATCTGCTCAGGGGCCTCTGTGGGCATCTGTCTCCTCTGCAGCATCTTTCCTCCCCACTGCTGGGTCTGCACATGACCCCCTCCTTGGGTTAGGCCTCTGATCAGTGATGACGTTGGTATGGTGGTAATGGTCAGTCTTGGCATCAAATGAGCCAGTTTATATCATCAGCTATTCAATAAAATACTAATCTAGGTGTCACCGTGAAAGTATTTTGTGACATTGTTATGTACATATTGTTACAAATGTGCATGATGCATTTACTACAGCATAGAATTTTGCCTGGGTGCCACCCTGAAGTCTGTCCGACAGATCATAGCCATGTTAGTCCCACAGTCGCAGGGGCCAATTGATTAAATTATTTTATCTCCCTTGAGAACTAAAACTAAAATCCTAAGCCCCCCACCCAACTTAACAGACCCCCTGTTGGCCAACGGAACCTCAAATAAATCTTAAAATTCAGTTCTTGGCCATGACAGGACAGGAAGTCAGACATACCTCCCTGTACCTCCCTCCCTCTTATGGTTTAGACCCAACAACTGAACAGCATTGATGTTAAAATAGAGATCATGAGACTGACAGAACAGACTCTTTGTGGCAATAAGACCTCAAATTATAAACAGGACCTAGGGCCATGCCAGGCGAGGGTTAAGTCTTGTACCCTACTCTTAAAGAATTAACTAGATTCTAGCTACCACATGGGTTTTATTTTTCTCTAGCAGCCAAGCAAGCACTGGCTGTGAGAGATGGCTGTGAGAGAAGATTAAAACAATTACAACTCACCCAGTTCACAGATGCTGAGTAACTGATCTCCTGCCCCACTAACCTTAACGACAGCTTTCTCTGGACAAGGGACTGATTTCAGTAACTTTCTCCTGATAAGAGACCATCCTCCATGGACTGGTTCTGGCCAGTTTTAGAGGCTGTGCCTTTACGAGGCTGAGTACCTTCATGTCCCTGCTTCACTTTTTGATGTGTAGGGCCTAATTATAATACATTTAAATGTCAAGTCTCCACCCCAGAATGAACATGCATGTTTATTGAATATGCATGTGTTAGGACCTCTTTTATGAGTATTCTCATAAAATGATATAGCTCCTCTGATATCCTATTGAGTATGTATATGTAGCCAACTCATTTGGCTCAAATTCCTGTCCTCTCCCTCCCTCCCTGGAAATGCCTGCCTCTGGCCTTGGCTGTAGGCCACACTTCCCAGCCTGTCATAATGGCCACCTTGCAGGCTGCAAACCTTTATAAGAAATAAAGCTCTCTTTTCTAAATTTATAAAATTGTGTGATTTTTCAGTTGATCCTCTCTTTCTACACACACACACACACACACACACACACATGCAATTTATACAGAAGGAAATCTGGAGAATATATGTGGGAATGGATATTAAGTGTGTGGCACCATGGTGAAAGTAACATAAAGTTGGATTAGGCTAAATTTATTAATGTTGGCCCACTAAACAGAGATTCTGGACTCAGAGTTGTAGGTCAAAGCTTTAGAAAGGGCTCCAAGGGTTGGTTTGATCGGTTACTTGGTTGGTTGCTTGCTTGGTTGGTGGTGCTTGTTTCCTTGCTTGGTTGTTTGGTTGGTTTGTTGCTTGCTTGTTTGCTTGTTGGTTGATTGGTTGGCTGTTTGCTTATTTGTTTGGTGACTTGGTTGGTTGGCTGAAACAGAATCAGAGTTTACCTAAGGTACATAAAGTTGAGATGCCACAACTTCCTTGGTTTATGTGTACAGAAAGGTATGCAAAAACTCAGGGAGACTGGATTTATTATGTCAGACCTGCTCACTCACACTGAAGGGTCTACAGAACATACTCCTCACAACGATCATGAGAAAGAATATTGTGAGATGAGCCCAGTATCCTGGAAGAGCTTTGAGCTTGTGCTCTCAGTAGGCAAAATGTTACAGCAGGAACTGCAGCCACTGGACTGGTATCTTTAAGTAAAATGAGGATAATTGAATCCTGGGGTGGCAGGGAACATGGGCTGTCCTTAATCACCAAAGATGAGGTGGGTGTGGTCACCACAGTGGAAAGCAGTGTCAAAGCAGCAGTCAGAATGGTTTGACTCACAGACACCCATGGCATTGTGTAGTCCATGGTATCCACAGGGAGAGCTAATGGGCTGTACCAAAGTCTTAGTTGTTGTTTAAAAAATGAAGAATTCTAGGTCAACTGAATAAAAGACTAACTCAAATTAATGAAACACAGATCTAAAACCCTCAATCAATTCCCAGACTTGAGCCAGTTCACAGGCCCACAACCCCTTAAGTGAAGGGGAGGCTGGGTGATCTTGGGGAAGTACGCTGCTACATTGCCAAAAATTTACATTGTTAATCTTTTTCCCAGTCTTCCCCAAAGGGACCTACAGCCTTCTGCCAGGATGACTGTGACTTAAAGAAAAGAAAATTCTCAGATATTTGGGGAATTACTGGACACTGGCTCTCATTTGACACTATTATCACTATGTTGCCTAGGATGGATTCATGCTTCTGGGTTCGAGCAGTCCTCCTACCTCAGCCTCCCAAAGTGCTGGGATGACAGACATGAGCCACCGTGGCCAGCAGAGCTTTGAAACTAGAACATGGAGGTCCAGTGGTAAATATTTGACAAGTCTGGGAAGAGATTGGGCCAAGGCAATGTTGATGATTCCTTTTTTTTTTTTTTTTTTTTTTTTGCAACAGATTCTCACTCTGTTGTCTAGGCTGGAGTGCAATGGTGCAATCTCGGCTCACTGCAACCTCTGCCTCTGGGGTGCAAGCAATTCTCCTGCCTCAGCCTCCTGAGTAGCTGGGATTACAGGTGCCCACCGCCACACCAGGCTAATTTTTTATTATTTTAATTTTTTTGAGACAGAGTCTCACTCTATATCGCCCAGGCTGGAGTGCAGTGGCGCAATCTGGGCTCACTGCAAACCCCACCTCTCAGGTTCACGCCATTCTCCTGCCTCAGTCTCACGAGTAGCTGGGACTACAGGTGCCTGCCACCGTGCCTGGCTAATTTTTTGTATTTTTAGTAGAGACAGGGTTTCACCATGTTAGCCAGGATGGTCTTGATCTCCTGACCTCATGATCCGCCCGCCTCAGCCTCCCACAGTGCTGGGATTACAGGGATGAGCCACCATGCCCAGCCATACCAAGCTAATTTTTGTATTTTTTTTTAGTTGAGACAGGGTTTCACCATGTTGGCCAGGCTGGTCCCTGACCTTGTGATCCGCCCGCCTCAGCTTCCCAAAGTGCTGAGATGACAGACATGAGCCACCGTGCCTGGCCAATGTTGATGATTCTAAGCAGCCGCTAATGTGAAAACCATCCAACTGGAAGACCTGGCCTTTCCCAGAGGACACAGTCTGGGTGGTGGGCAGAGACTTCAGCTGACTTCCAAGGCAAGCAGCTCCTTGCTGCCCGCTTGCTGGGGATTTTACTTACGGGGCAGAAGCTGGCAAGTGATTTGGGGGCAGGAATTGCTTCCTGGATGGTATAGGATGAACCACACTCCCCAGGAAGGCACTCATCCTGGTGGCCTAACAGAAGTAGCCCTCACCTCAAAAGGTAATGCTGCTCCACTAGTTTTATGGGGTGACTCCTTCCTGTAGGTTCCTTCCAGCTTTACCAGAAACACAGAACATCTTTCCTGACAGGGCATTGGTTTTGTTTTTGAACAGAGAGATCCTTCTTTTAAAAAGTTAGTTTTTTCTTTTTTTTTTTTGTAATGGAATCAACCTAGGTCCTAAGCCTAGCAGGTTATTATTATTATTTTTATGATTATTTTTTGAGATGGAGTCCCACTCTGTGGCCCAGGCTGGAGGGCAGTGGCACGATCTCGGCTCACTGCAATGTCTGCCTCCTGGGTTCAAGAGATTCTCCTGCCTCAACCTACAGAGGAGCCGGGATTACAGGCGTGCACCACCATGCCCGGCTAATTTTTGTACTTTTAGTAGAGATAGGGTTTTGCCATGTTGGCCAGGCTGATCTCAAACTCCTGACCTCAGGTGATCCACCCACCTCAGCCTCCCAAACTGCTGAGAATACAGGTGTGAGCTGCCACACCCAGCCACAGGTTATTTTTGCTGATCTTCTCCCTCCTCCCACCCTCTACCCTCAAAGAAAATGTGGTACATCTACACCATGGAATACTACGCAACCCTGAAAAGGAACAAAATCATTTTTTTGTTTTTTTTGTTTGTTTGTTTTTGCAGCAACATGGATGTAGCTGGAGGCCATTATCTTTTTTAATTATTTTTATTATTTTTTATTTTTTCTATTCTACTTTAAGTTCTGGGGTATATGTGCAGAATGTGCAGGATTGTTACATAGATATATATGTGCCATAGCGGTTTGCTGCACCCATCAACCCATCATCTACATTAGATATTTCTCATAATGCTGTCCCTCCCCCAGTCCCCCACCCCTGCAACAGGCCCCAGTGTGTGATGTTCCCCTCTCCGGGTCGATGTGTTCTCATTGTTCACTTCCCTCTTATGGTGAGAACATGCACTGTTTGGTTTTCTGTTCCTGTTTCACTTTGCTGAACATGAGGGTTTCCAGCTTCATCCATGTCCCTGCAAAGGACATGAACTCATCCTTTTTCATGGCTGCATAGTATTCCACAGTGTCTATGTGCTGCATTTTGTTTATCCAGTCTATCACTGATGAGCATTTGGGTTGGTTCCACATCTTTGCTATTGTGAACAGTGTGGAGGCCATTATCTTAAGTAAATTAACAGAATGCTGCATGTTCTCACTATAAGTGGGAGCTAAATGTTGTGTATAGGTAGACACAGAGAAGGGAACAGATACTGGGTTCTAGTTAGGGGGAGAGAGGAAGGTAGAAGGACAAGAGTTGAAAAAACCAACTGTGGGGTATTATGCTCACTATCTGGGTGATGGGATCACTCATACCCCAGACCTCAGCATCACACATCGTCCGCATGTAAGAAACCTGTACATGTACCTCCTGAATCCAAACTGCTCCACCATTTGCACCAGCAATTCCAAGACTGGGCATCTACCCAGAGGAAAAGAAGTCATTCTACCAAAAAGATACATGCATGGTAAAGTTCCTTTTTTTTTGTTTGTTTTTTGAGATGGCGTCTCGCTCTATTGCCCATGCTGGAGTGCAGTAGCAATCTTGGCTCACTGCAACCTCTGCCTCCTGGGTTAAAGTGATTCTCCTGCCTCAGCCTCCTGAGCAGCTGGGATTACAGGCATGCGCCACCATGCCTGGCTAGTTTTTGTATTTTTAGTAGAGATAGGGTTTCACCATGTTGACCAGGCTGGTCTTGAACTCCTGACCTCAGGTGATCTGCCCACCTTGGCCCTCCAGAGTGCTGGGATTATAGTGCCCAGCCCTGTAAGGTTTGTCACAGCATGACTTACAATAGGAAAGTCATGGAATCAACCTAGTTGCCCATCAGTAGGGTACCGGATAAAGCAAAAGTGGTTCTTCTACAGCATCGAATACTACACAGCCATGAAAAAGAATAAAATCACATCCTTTGCAGCCACATGGATGTAGCTGGAGGGCATTATGCTTAATGAATTAAGAACAGAAAATCAAATACCACATGTTCTTGACTGGATAAAGCAATTGTGGCCCTTCTACGCCATGGAATACTGCACAGCCATGAAAAAGAATAAAATCATGTCTTTGCAGCCACATGGATGCAGCTGAAGGGAATTATGCTTAGTGAATTAATGCCAGGAAAAGAAAATCGAATACCACATGTTCTCCACTAGATAAAGCAAATGTGGTCTTTCTGCATCATGGAATACTACGCAGCCATGAAAAAGAATAATATCATGTCCTTTGCAGCCACATGGACACAGCTGAAGGACATTATGCTTAGTGAATTAATGCCAGGAACAGAAAATGAAATACTACATGTCCTCAACTGGATAAAGCAAATGTGGCCCTTCTACACCACGGAATACTACACAGTGATGAAAAAAATAAAATCTTGTCTTTGCAGCCACATGGATGCAGCCAGAGGGCATTATGCTTAGTGAATCAATATGAGGAACAGAAAATCAAAGACCACATGTTCTTCACTAGATAAAGCAAATGTGGTCCTTCTGCATCATGGAATACTACACAGCCATGAACAAGAATAAAATCATGCCCTTTGCAGCAACATGGATGAAGCTGAAGGGCATTATGCTTAGTGAATTAATGCCAGAAACAAAATCAAATACCACATGTTCTCAATTAGATAAAGCAAATGTGGTCCTTCCGCATCATGGAATACTACACAGCCATGAACAAGAATAAAATCATGCCCTTTGTAGTCACGTGGATGAAGCTGAAGGGCACTATGCTTAGTGAATTAACGCCAGGAACAGAAAATCAAATACCACATGTTCTCGCTTATAGGTGGGAGCTAAACATTGCCTGCACCTGGACACAATGAAGGGGCACCACAGACCCTCAGTACTAATAGAGCAGGAAGCAGGGGCGGGGGTACAAGGGTTGAAAAACTACCCTGAGATTCTTTGAATTTCAGGCAGAAAGCAGCAACTGGAGAGAGCTTTGGGTCACGGATTTTTCTGTTGCATTTTCTTGCTTGTTTGTTTTCTCTCTCGCTCTTTTTTTTTTTTTTTTTTTTTTTTTGAGATGGAGTCTCGCTCTGTGACCCAGGCTGGAGTGCAGTGGTGCAATCTCGGCTCCCTGCAACTTCTGCCTCCTGGATTCAAGCAATTCTTCTACCTCAGCCTCCCAAGTAGCTGGGATTACAGGCACCCGCCACCACACCTGGTTAATTTTTGTATTTTTAGCAGAGACGGGCTTTCACCATGTTGGCCAGGCTGGTCTCGAACTCCTGACCTCAGGTGATCTGCCTGCCTCGGCCTCCCAAAGTGCTGGGATTACAGGCATGAGCCACTGCACCTGGACCTCTTCTTATATATTCTAGAACTCCTCTAGAATTTGGGGTTTGTTTTTCTTAATTACAAGGAATCAAGTTGAATCATTAGTGCATATATAAATATGCATTTTATTTTTAGTACACATTATATACCTCAGGAATGTACAATGCTCAGTGCCTGGGTGACGGGATTATTCATACCCCAAACCTCAGCAACGTACAATATCCTCAGGTCACAAAGCTGCCCGTGGATCCCCTGAATCTATAATAATAATAATAAATAAAAAGTGACTTTGTCATTCGCAGGGAAATGCAAATGACATTCACTCTGCCTCTCAGGCCCTTGGATTCCCAAAATTTGTTTTCATCACGCCCAGGGGACACTCAGAATCTCATTTTCAGAACATGGGTTGTTTTTCTTAGAAACACTTTGCAAAACAAAATAGGAAGCAAAATCTTTCTCACTCCTTCCACTCCGTAATAGACAAAATAAAATGAGGGGTCAGGAATCCAGAGACTTTGACTGCAGTTGGCAGATTTATTGTGGTACAGACATGAAGGCAAACAGTGTTCTCTCTGATTCTACAAACCGTACAGCCCGGGCCGGCTGCCTTCTGCTTTCTGGATGGTGCAGGCATGAGCTCCAAGCCCAAATTTCACCGGAGCTCCAGGAATCGAGCCTGGCCCAGGCACTCACTGCACGGGGGCCAAGCGTGAAACCAGTGATCACTCCAGCAAGGTAACAGGACAGCTTGGTGATCCTTCTTGCCGGCCACAAAAGGTTATAGCCAGAATTCCACCGAATGTGGTCTTTCTGTGTCTCTCCCCAGACAGCGAAGCTGGACAAACCTGGGGGTGGGGGGTGGGGGGTGCTGACCTCAGTGGGGTGTCCTGGAGGGGCAGGAACCAGGGTTTACAGGGTGCAGATCCTACTGAAGCAAATGGACGTGGCATCCGCGGGCAGAGCTGGCTGTGGCGTCCCCCCTCTGCCTGCGGTGTCACCAAATGTACCCAGAGACCGCTTGTAAACCTGGAGGGTGTGCTAACGTCAGTGGGGTGTCCTGGAGAGGCAGGAACCTGGGAATCCAAGGTACAGATTCTACTAAAGCAAATGGACGTGGCATCCGCGGGCAGAGCTGGCTGTGGCGTCCCCCCTTCTGCCTGGGGTGTCACCACATTTCACCAAGAGACCCCTTCTAAACCTGGGCAGTGTGCTGACCTCAGTGGGGTGTCCTGGAGAGGCAGGAACCAGGGTTTACAGGATGCAGATCCTACTGAAGCAAATGGACATGGCATCTGCGGGCAGAGCTAGGTGTGGCTGGCCTTCCAGCCTGGATGTCCCCCCCCTGCCTGGGGTGTCACCAAATGCACCCAGAGACCCCTTCTAAACCTGGGGGGATGTGCTGACCTCAGTGGGGTTTCCTGGAGAGGCAGGAACCTGGGTTACCAGGGTGCATATCCTACTGAAGCAAATGGACGTGGCATCCTTGAGCAGAGCTGGCTGTGGCTGGCCTTCCAGCCTGGACGTCTCCCCCACTGCCTGGGGTGTCACCAAATGCACCCAGAGACCTCTCTTCTGAAAGCCCATTCATGGGAAGCCTCCAGGTCTCCTCGGTAGGCAGCATCACGTCTGATTTAACTGCGTTATCAGGTAATGCAGGCCTGTTCTACCTGTGTGAGTGAGCGCGTGGGTGCCGTGTGGGAGTGTGTGTGTTGATGTGGGTGTGGGTGTGTGCTTGTGTGGCTGTGTGTGCCTGTTTATGTGATGATGAGTGTTTCTGTGAGTCTGTAAGACAACGTGTGTTTCCATGCATGTTTCTGTGTGAGCGTGCATTCCTGTGTTTTATGGAAGTGTGTTTTTGTGATGGTGTTTGTGTGTGCCCCTGTGTTTATCGTATTTGTGTGTTTGTGAATATGAATGTATGTGTGTGAATCTGTATGGCAATGTATAAATTCTTTTTTTTTTTTTGAGACGGAGTCTCGCTCTGTCACCCATACTGGAGTGCAAAGGCACAATCTCAGCTCACAGCAACCTCCGCCTCCCGGGTTCAAATGATTCTTCTGCCTCAGCCTCCTGAGTACCTGGGATTACAGGCACCCACCACCACATCTGGCTAATTTTTCTTTTTTGATACAGAGTCTCGTTCTGTTGCCCAGGCTGGAGTGCAGTGGCGTAATCTTGGCTCACTGCAACCTCTGCCTCCCGGGTTCAAATGATTCTCCTGCCTCAGCCTCCTGAGTAGCTGGGATTACAGGCATACGCCACCACATCTGGCTAATTTTTGTATTTTTGAGTAGAGACGGGGTCTCACCATGTTGGCCAGGCTGGTCTGGAACTCCCGACCTCAAGTTATCTGCCCGCCTCGGCCTCCCAAAGTTCTGGGAGTACAGGCGTGAGCCACCTTGCCCGGCCCCGGTGTGTGAATTTTTATGTTTGTGTGTCCACATGATTATGTGAGTCTTTTTGTGACTGTGTTTGCATGAGTGTGTGACTGTATTTATGTGTTTGTGTGTGCTTGTGTGATTCTGAGTGTGTGTATGAGTGTGTATGACATATGTGAGTGTCTTTGTGGGTGAGTAGCCATCCACGTGTTTATATGAGAGTGTTTTCATGATTCTGTTTATGAGTGTCTTTGTATGTATACATGTTTGTGTGCTTTGTGAGAATGTCAATGTGCATGTGCACCCACGTGTGCAAAAAAACACACATTTTTGTAATTGTGTTTGTGTGTGTGTCCCTGCGTTTGTGTGAGTGTGCATGTCTTTGTGTGTCCATGTGTTTCTATGAGTGTGTTTTGTGATTCTGTCTTCGTGTTGATGTGTGTTTGTGTAAGTGTGTGGTTGCATTTGTGTCAGTGATTCTGGAGCAGGTGAGTTGATCACAAGCCTGAGCTGAGAATCCATGGAGCTCATTTACAACAGAAGCCAGGACCCTGTGCAAATCCTTCTGAAATATCCCCGGTTTACAGAGCTCCTAGGGGTGGGGAAGAAAAATTCCCTGACTTTTCGGCCTCAGGGAAAGAGAGAGACACCCCACTGGCCATACGCCTCTGCTGTTTCTCAGAAAACGGATGGGGCATCACTCTTTCCCAAATGACGGTGATTTTGAGAACGGTTCACCTTTTGAAGAGACGTTTCTGCCCTGGCGATCCATACATATTGAACCAAAATGAATATTTTTTAATTAAAAATTTTTATATAAATATACATTGTGTATACTTTATATTAATATATTGATATAAATAAATATATTTTATTAATATAAACATATGATTTTTATAGTTCATATAAATAATAAAGTTATATATAGTGTATATGTAAAATATACTTTTATTTGTAATACATAATTTTATAGATTAAATTTTATATACTAAGCAAAGTTATATGTGATATATACATGCCATATAACATCATTTATATCATATATACCTTTATGTAAATAAGTATATAATAAAATTGATCTTATATTTGTTAATACATAATTATGTATATATACTATGTAAAAATAAAATTATATGTTGTATGTGCATAATTATATTTCCATAAATACATGCTTAGGTGTGTATTTATACATGAATGCCTGTGTTTGTGTGAGTACATCAGTGAGTGCGTGAATGTGTGTGTGCACATGTGTGCCTGTGTTTGTGTGAGTGTAAGAGTGTTGTACATTTATACACACACATTTTGTTTTCTGGTTAATAACAAGATCTATCTTTGATTTAGGATATGAAGAATTCTTATAAGCAACCCCCCCACACACACAATTTGTATTTATCTTAAAATATTCTTAAAATATGGGTTCTTTTATTTTTGCACAAACAGACAAGAGTGTTTTTTCTTTCCAAAACTTTTATTTCAAATTCTGACCCTGAGGAGGAGAAAAAGAAGAAAACATTGTGTAACCTTATATACATTAGAAACATAGGTAGTTACTAAATGCAATACAGATTTTGACAACATGCATTTAGGAAAAATGAGGAATTCAAACTCGTAGCTGCCTCAATATTGAACTTTCTAATGTTTAATTTTTTTTAATTAAAAAGTATTCGTTTGGATTCAATATGTATGGATCTCCAGGGCAGAAATGTCTCTCCAAAAAGTGAACCACTCTGAAAATCACCGTCATTTGGGAAAGGGTGATGCCCCAGGTGTCTTCTGAAAAATAGCAGAGGCTTCCGGCCAGTGGGATGTCTCTCTCTTTCCCTGAGGCCGAAATGTCAGGGAATTTTTCTTCCCCACCCCTAGGAGCCCAGTAAACGGGGGATATTTCAGAAGGATTTGCACAGGGTCCTGGCTTCTGCTATTTATGAGCTCCATGGATTCTTGGCTCAGGCTTGTGATCAGCTCACCTGCTCCAGAATCACTTCCCGTCTTAGCTTCTGGGCTAAGACACCTCAAAACCAGCAAAGGAAAGTCCTCACTGGTCAACGTGTCCATCCCAACTCCCCCATCTCCCCTTAGGGTGGGTTTGGGGTTCGGGACTGCTTTACTGTTCCTTTCAAAGCAGACTGGGAGGTAAGATTTTATTCTGCTTCCAGAGGTTCAGGATTTCTGCAGACGGTCAGCAACTCTTTGCATCCTACTGGTAAAAGTTTTATATACTTTGTATTTATATAAATATGCATTGTGTATATTTTATATGAATAGATTGATATAAATATATTTTATTAACTTAACCATGTGACTTTTATATTTTTATATAAATAAAGTTATATGTAGTGTATATGTAAAATACACTTTTATTTGTAATACATAATTTTATAGATTAAATTTAATATATTAAGCAAAAATATATGTAATATATATAACATATAACATCATTTATATAATATGTAACTTAATGTAAATAAGTATATAAAATTATTATTATATTTGTTAATACATAATTATGCATATATACTATGTAAAAATAAAATTACATATTGTATATGCATAATTATATTTCTATAAATACAATTATATACTATATATAATTATGTACAAAATAATTGTATAATAAAATTATATAATAAATTTTGAAACGTTATAAATTATTATACATAGTATTTTATTGTATTAAATTTAGAAATGTGTTATATGTTTTATTATAATAAATGTAGATTATATAAAATTTTATTTATAATAAATTATCTTATGTATAATTATAATATGAGAAAATAATTATATATCATTGTATTATAATAAATTTAGAAATGTTATACATTATTATATATAAAATTTCATTATATTAAATTTAGAAATATATGCAATAAAATGGTATTATATTAAAATTTTTATGTAACATTTTATACATGTATAATTTTATAAAATGTTTTATAATATATAGAATATAAGTACACAGCATATAAGTACAAAAATATTTATATACAGCTACACGTAATATAAATACATCAGTGTAAGATGTTTTGTGTGTGTGAGATGGAGTCTCGCTCTGTTGCCCAGGCTGGAGTGCAGCGACACGATCTCGGCTCACTGCAACCTCTGCCTCCTGGGTTCAAGCGATTCTCCTGCCTCAGCCTCCCGAGTAGCTGGGATTACAGGCATGCACCACCACACCCAATCAATTTTTGTATTTTTAGTAGAGATGGGGTTTCACTGTGTTAGCCAGGATGGTCTCAAACTCCTGACCTCAGGTGATCCACCCGCCTTGGCCTCCCAAAGTGCTGGGATTACAGGCATGAGCCACAGTGTAAGATACTGGCTATTAAAAAATAAATAAATATATATATTGCAACAGCTGATTTGTCTGGAAGAGTCTGGTCAGAAGACAGTGTATTAAGAAGACTGTGAGTCCCCAGAGGAATATAAGAATATACATCATGTTGATATATTATATATAACATAAATAGCTAACTACATCTGTGTATATAGTATAAACAAAAGTACAAAAATATTTGTATATAACTATATGTAATATAAATATATCAGTGTAAGATATTAGCTATTAAAAAATATATATATAGAGAGAGAGAGAGCAACCAGTGATTTGTCTGGAATATTCTAGTCAGAAGACAGTGTATTAAGAAGACAGTGAGTCCCCAGAAGAATATAAGGATATACATCATGTTAATATATTATATATAACATAAATACCTAACGACATCTGTATATATAGTATAAACATAAACTACAAAAATATTAGTATGTAACTATATGTAATATAAATATATCAGTGTAAGATATTAGCTATTAAAATATACATATGTGCGTATGTATGTGTATATGTGTATATAAATATTATATATATATATATAGTAACAGCTGATTTGTGTGGAAGACTTTGGTCAGAAGACAGTGTATTAAGAAGACAGTGGGTCCTCACAGGAAAATAAGAATATACATCATGTTTATATTACATATAACATAAACAACTAATTACATCTGTATATACAGCATAAACATAAAGTACAAAAATATTTGTATATAATCATATGTAATATAAATATACCAGTGTAAGATATTAGCTATTAAAATATACATGTGTGTATGTATGTGTATATGTGTATATATAATATATATATACATATATAACATATATAATATATGATATAGCATAATAATATAATATATTATATATAATATGTAATGTATATTATATAATTAATATATAATATATAATATATTCTATGCTATATAATATATTATATATTCTATGCAGTAAAATATATAGCATATATATATATATATATATATATATATATATATATATATAGCAACAGCTGATTTGTCTGGAAGAATTTGGTCAGAAGACAGTTTATTAAGACAGTGAGTCCCCAGAGAAATATAAGAATATACATCATGTTTATATTATATATAACATAAATAGCTAACTACATCTGTATATATAGCATAAACATAAAGTACAAAAATATTTATATATAATATAAATATATCAGTGTAAGATATTAGCTATTAAAAAAAATATATATATATATAGCAACCGGTGATTTGTCTGGAAGACTGGTCAGAAGACAGTGTATTAGGAAGACAGGCAGTCCCCGCAGGAAGCATGGTGCAGGTGGGATCTGGAGGTGACTCTGGGCTGCCAGAAGACGCCCTACTGCTTTGCGGCAGACACAGGTGGAGAGGTCCTCTCTGTAGCTTCAGCGTGGACACTGTGTGTGTCTTGTTGTGGGAACACTTCTTTCTGCTTCCCTCTCCACTGTGACCATCACACTCACTGACCTGCCCTCCTCCTTCCTCTCGCTCTCTGGGGCCCCTGTGGAAAGAGGGTCTTCCCTCCATGCAGCAGGAACCCCCAGGACCCTCCCCATTCTCCTGGGTTCTGAACTTCAGGGACATGTGATCCTACCTGACCGGGCACAGGCTCTGTTCACCCTCAGGAACCCCTGTCCTCCCAGGACACCGTGGACTGGAGAACTGGCCTCCTGAAAATCCAGAGAGAACTTAGCACTCACAACTTCTTTTTTTCTTTTTTCTTTGAGACGGGATCTTGCTCTGTCCCCCAGGCTGGAGTGCAATGGCATGATCTCAGCTCACTGCAACCTCCTCCTCCCAGGTTCAAGCAGTTCGTCCTGCCTCTGTCTCCCGAGTTTCTGGGATCATAGGTATCCACCCCTGCAGCCAACTAATTTCTGTATTTTTAGTAGAGACGGTGTTTCACCATGTTGGCCAGGCTGGTCTCGAACTCTTGACCTCAAGTGATCCACCCACCTCGGCCTCCCAAAGTACTGGGATGACATATATTAGCATGATGTATATTATTCTATTCCTCCGGGGACTCACTGTCTTCTTGGGCAGTAAACCACTGTGCCCGGACTTCTCTGTCCACATCTACACACGTCTAAACCTCTGTAGATTCTGAATTGTTTTTCCTTTGCACAGAATGAGAGGAACTGAAGTCGGGAGGCCCAGCCCCAACATGGTCCCTCTGGCTCTGTGCTCAGGTGGTTTATGGCTGACAAGGACTTGGGGGGTTGAGGGCTTCCTATCAGCCCAGGAGACATTACCCGGGTCTGGGAAGCCTGCTCTGCACTTGTGGGTCTCGAATTGTCTGTTGCATTTACCTGCCTCATTATTTTTTCTCCCTGTCTCTCTTCTTACATATTTCTTTCGAATTTGGAGCTTGTTTTTCTTAACTACAATCAACCTGAATCATTACTGCATATATAAATATAAATTTTATATTGAGTAGACATTATATACTCAATCTATTACACATTCCAACACGGGCCATATCTAAGATGAATATATTTAATGTTTAAAATATGTTTACATTTCATATGGAAAAATATATTTATATTTAATATATATGTGTATATTTAATACAGGAAATACATATTTATATTTAATATATAAAATATATATTTATATTTGACATAAAAATATATGTTTATATTTAATATGGGAAATATATGTTTATGTTTAATATACAAAATACATGTTAATATTTAATATAGACAATGTATAGTTATATTTACTATCCAAAATACATGTTTATATTTAATATAGAAAATGTTTATATTTAATGTACAGAATACATATTTATATTTAATATAGAAAATACATATTTATATTTAACATATACAGTATTTATATTTAATGTATAAAATATGTTTACATTTAATGTGCTGAATATATGCTTATATTTAATGTCTAAAATGTCTATATTTAATGTATTGTATACATTAAATGTACCAAATGTATTCTTATATTTAATGTATACAAGATGTTTATATTTAATGTATATGTTTACATTTAATGTATAAAATGTTTATGTTTGATGTATAAAAGATGTTTATATTTAATGTATACAATGTTTATATTTAATGTACCAAATATATTATATTTAATGTCCAAGCCACCCAGCCAGCCAAGCCAGCCAAGCCACACAGCCAGCCAAGACACCCAGCCAGCCAAGCCCGCCATGCCAGCCAGCCAGCCAAGACAGCCAGCCAGCCAAGCCAACCAAGCCACCCAGCCAGCCAAGCCAGCCAGCCAGCCAGCCAGCCAGCCAGTCAGGCAGCCAAGCCAGTGGGCCGCCCAGCCAGCCAAGCCAGCCAAGCCACCCAGCCAGCAAAGCCAGCCAAGCCACTCAGCCAGCCAAGCTGGCCAAGCCACCCAAACAGTCAAGCCAGCGAAGCCAACCATGCCAGTCAGCCAGCCAAGCCAGCCAGCCAGCCAAGCCAGCCAAGCAACCCAGCCAAGCCAACCAGCCAGCCAAGCAAGCCAAGCCCCCCAAGCCACCCAGCCAGCCACCCTAGCCAGCCAAGCCACCCAAGCCAGCCAAGCCAGACAAGCCACCCAGCCGGCCACCCTAGCCAGCCAAGCCACCTAAACCAGCCAAGCCAGCCAAGCCACCCAGCCACCCAGCCTAGCCAGCCAAGCCACCCAAGCCAGCCAAGCCAGCCAAGCCACCCAGCCACCCAGCCTAGCCAGCCAAGCCAGCCAAGCCAGCCAGCCCCCCAAGCCAGCCAAGCCAGCCAGCCACCCTAGCCAGCCAAGCCACCCAAGCCAGCCAAGCCAGCCAAGCCACCCAGCCACCCAGCCTAGCCAGCCAAGCCAGCCAAGCCAGCCAGCCCCCAAAGCCAGCCAAGCCAGCCAGCCACCCTAGCGAGCCAAGCCACCCAAGCCAGCCAAGCCAGCCAAGCCACCCAGCCAGCCAAGCCAGACAGCCACCCAGCCTAGCCAGCCAAGCCACCCAAGCCAGCCAAGCCAGCCAAGCCACCCAGCCAGCCAAGCCAGACAGCCACCCAGCCAGCCAAGCCAGCCAAGCCACCCAGCCAGCCAAGCCAGCCAAGGAAGCCAGCCAGCCAAGCCAGCCAAGCCACCCAGACAGCCAAGCCAGCCAAGCCACCCAGACAGCCAAGCCAGCGAAGCCAGGCAAGCCAGCCAAGCCACCCAAGCCAGCCAAGCCAGCCAAGCCACCTAGCCAGCCAAGCCAGCCAAGCCACCCAGACAGCCAAGCCAGCCAAGCCACCTAGCCAGCCAAGCCAGCGAAGCCACCCAGCCAGCCAAGCCAGCCAAGCCACCCAGCCAGCCAAGCCAGCCAGCCACCCAGCCAGCCAAGCCTGCCAAGCCACGCAGCCAGCCAAGCCACCCAGCCAGCCAAGCCAGCCAGCCACCCAGCCAGCCAAGCCAGCCAAACCACCCAGACAGCCAAGCCCGCCAGCCACCCAGTCAGCCAAGCCAGCCATGCCAGCCAGCCACACAAGACAGCCAGCCAGCCAAGCCAGCCAAGCCAGCCAGCCGTGTAAACCAGCCCAGCCGGCCAGCCAATCCAGCCAAGCCACCCAGCCACCCAAGCCAGCCAAGCCAGCCAAGCCACCCAGCCAGCCAAGCCAGCCAGGCACCCAGTCAGCCAAGCCAGCCATGCCAGCTAGAAAGCCAAGACAGCCAGCCAGCCAAGGCAGCCAACCCACTCAGCCAACCAAGCCAGCCAGCCAAGCTAGGCAAACCAGCCAGCCAGCCAAGCCACCCAGCCAGCCAAGCCAGCCAAGCCAGCCCAGCCAGCCAGCCAGCAAAGCCAGCCAAGCCAGCCAGCCAGCCAAGCCAGCCAAGGCAGCCAAGCCAGCCCAGCCAGCCAGCCAGCCAAGCCGGGCAAGCCAGCCAGCGAGCCCAGCCAGCCCAGCCAGCCCAGCCGGGCAAGCCAGCCAGCGAGCCCAGCCAGCCCAGCCAGTCAGCCAGCCAAACCAGACCACCAGCCAAGCCAGCCAGCCACCCAGCAAAGCCAGCCACCCAGCCAAGCCAGCCAAGAGAGCAAAGCCAGCCAAGCCGGTCAGTCAAGCCAGCCAAGCCAGCCAAGCCAGCCAACCAGCCAGACAGCCCAGCCAGCCAGACAGCACAGGCAGCTAAGCCAGACAAGCCAGCCAACCAGCCAGACAGCCCAGCCAGCCAGCCAGCACAGGCAGCCAAGCAAGCCATGCCAGCCAGCCAGCCAAGCCGGCCAAGACAGCCAGCCAGCCAACCCAGCCAAGCCAGCCAAGCCTGCCAGCCAGCCAAGCCAGCCAAGCCACCCAAGCCAGCCAGCCAAGCCGACCAAGCCAGCCAAGCCAGTAAGCCAGCCAAGCCAGCCAAGCCAGCCAGCCAGCCAAGCCAGCCAAGCCACCCAGCCAGGCAAGCCAGCCAAGCCACCCAGCCGGCCAAGCCACCCTGCTGGCCAAGCCAGCCAAGCCACCCAGCCAGCCAAGCCAGCCAGCCAGCCAGCCAAGCCAGCCAAGCCAATCAAGCAAGCCAAGCCAGCCAGCCAGCCAGGCCAGCCAAGCCACCTAGCCAGCCAAGCCAGCCAAGCCACCCAGCCAGCCAAGCCAGCCAAGCCACACAGCCAGCCAAGACACCCAGCCAGCCAAGCCCGCCAGCCACCCAGTCAGCCAAGCCAGCCATGCCAGCCAGCCAGCCAAGACAGCCAGCCAGCCAAGCCAACCAAGCCACCCAGCCAGCCAAGCCAGCCAGCCAGCCAGCCAGCCAGCCAGTCAGGCAGCCAAGCCAGTGGGCCGCCCAGCCAGCCAAGCCAGCCAAGCCACCCAGCCAGCAAAGCCAGCCAAGCCACTCAGCCAGCCAAGCTGGCCAAGCCACCCAAACAGTCAAGCCAGCGAAGCCAACCATGCCAGTCAGCCAGCCAAGCCAGCCAGCCAGCCCAGCCGGCCAAGCCAGCCAGCCAAGCCACCCAGCCACCCAAGCCAGCCAAGCCAGCCAAGCCACCCAGCCAGCCAAGCCAGCCAGGCACCCAGTCAGCCAAGCCAGCCATGCCAGCTAGAAAGCCAAGACAGCCAGCCAGCCAAGGCAGCCAACCCACCCAGCCAGCCAAGCCAGCCAGCCAAGCTAGGCAAACCAGCCAGCCAGCCAAGCCACCCAGCCAGCCAAGCCAGCCAAGCCAGCCCAGCCAGCCAGCCAGCAAAGCCGGGCAAGCCAGCCAGCGAGCCCAGCCAGCCCAGCCAGCCAAGCTGGGCAAGCCAGCCAGCGAGCCCAGCCAGCCCAGCCAGTCAGCCAGCCAAACCAGACCACCAGCCAAGCCAGCCAGCCACCCAGCAAAGCCAGCCACCCAGCCAAGCCAGCCAAGAGAGCAAAGCCAGCCAAGCCGGTCAGTCAAGCCAGCCAAGCCAGCCAAGCCAGCCAACCAGCCAGACAGCCCAGCCAGCCAGCCAGCACAGGCAGCTAAGCCAGACAAGCCAGCCAACCAGCCAGACAGCCCAGCCAGCCAGCCAGCACAGGCAGCCAAGCAAGCCAAGCCGGCCAAGACAGCCAGCCAGCCAACCCAGCCAAGCCAGCCAAGCCTGCCAGCCAGCCAAGCCAGCCAAGCCACCCAAGCCAGCCAGCCAAGCCGACCAAGCCAGCCAAGCCAGTAAGCCAGAAAAGCCAGGCAAGCCTGCCAGCCGGCCAAGCCAGCCAAGCCAGCCAAGCCAGCCAAGCCAGCCAGCCAAGCCAGACAAGCCAGCCAGCCAGCCAAGCCAGCCAAGCCAGCCAGCCAAGCCAGCGAAGCCAACCATGCCAGTCAGCCAGCCAAGCCAGCCAGCCAGCCAAGCCAGCCAAGCCAGCCAAGCCAGCCAGCCCCCTAAGCCACCCAGCCAGCCACCCTAGCCAGCCAAGCCACCCAAGCCAGCCAAGCCAGCCAAGCCACCCAGCCAGCCACCCTAGCCAGCCAAGCCACCCAAGCCACCCAAGCCAGCCAAGCCACCCAGCCACCCAGCCTAGCCAGCCAAGCCACCCAAGCCAGCCAAGCCAGCCAAGCCACCCAGCCACCCAGCCTAGCCAGCCAAGCCAGCCAAGCCAGCCAGCCCCCCAAGCCAGCCAAGCCAGCCAGCCACCCTAGCCAGCCAAGCCACCCAAGCCAGCCAAGCCAGCCAAGCCAACCTGCCAGCCAAGCCAGACAGCCACCCAGCCTAGCCAGCCAAGCCACCCAAGCCAGCCAAGCCAGCCAGGCACCCAGTCAGCCAGCCAAGCCAGCCATGCCAGCTAGAAAGCCAAGACAGCCAGCCAGCCAAGCCAGTCAAGCCACCCAGCCAGCCAAGCCAGCCAGCCACCCAGCCAGCCAAGCCAGCCAGCCACCGAGGCAGCCAAGCCAGCCAGCCAACCAAGCCGGCCAAGCCACCCAGCCATCCAAGCCGGCCAAGCCACCCAAACAGTCAAGCCAGCGAAGCCAGCCAAGCCAGTCAGCCAGCGAAGCCAACCAAGCCAGCCAGCCAGCCAAGCCACCCAGACAGCCAAGCAAGCCAAGCCAGCCAGCCATCCAAGCCAGCCAAGCCAGCCAAGCCAGCCAGCCCACCAACCCAGCCAAGCCACCCATCCAGCCAAGCCAGCTAGCCAGCCAAGCCACCCAAACCAGCCAAGCCAGCCAGCCATCCAAGCCAGCCAAGCCAGCCAGCCAGCCTAGCCAGCCAAGACACCCAAGCCAGCCAAGCCAGCCAAGACACCCAGCTGGCCAAGCCAGCCAGCCACCCAGCCAGCCAAGCCAGCCAAGCCAGCCAAGCCAGGCAAGCTAGCCAAGCCAGCCAAGCCAGCCAGCCAGCCAAGCCAGCCTAGCCACCCATCCTGCCAAGCCAGCCAAGCCACCCAGCCAGCCAAGCCACCCAAGCCACCCAGCCAGCCAAGCCAGTCAAGCCACCCAGCCGGACAAGCCGGCCAAGCCAGCCAGCCAGCCAAGCCGGCCAAGCCTGCCAGCCAGCCAAGCCGGCCAAACCAGGCAAGCCAGCCAATCCAGCCAAGCCTGCCAGAGAGCCAATCCAGCCAAGCCTGCCAGAGAGCCAAGCCAGCCAAGCCAGCCAAGCCACCCAGCCAGCCAAGTCAGCCAGCCACCCAGCCAGCCAAGCCAGCCAGCCACCCAGGCCGGCCAAGCCAGCCAGCCAGCCAAGCCGGCCAAGCCACCCAGCCAGCCAAGCCGGTCAAGCCACCTAGTCAGCCAAGCCAGCCATGCCAGCCAGCCAGCCAAGACAGCCAGCCAGCCAAGCCACCCAAGCCACCCAGCCAGCCAAGCGAGCCAGCCATGCTAGCCAAGCCAGCCAGCCAGCCAAGCCATCCAGGCCAGCCAATCCAGCCAAGCCTGCCAGCCAGCCAAGGTAGCCAAGCCAGCCATTCCAGCCAAGCCTGCCAGCCAGCCAAGCCAGCCAAGCCAGCCAGCCAGCCAGCCAAGCCAGCCAAGCCACCCAGCCAGCCAATCCAGCCAAGCCTGCCAGCCAGCCAAGGTAGCCAAGCCGGCCAGCCAGCCAAGCCAGCCAAGCCACCCAGCCAGCCAAGCCAGCCAAGCCAGCCAGCCAACCAAGCCAGCCAAGCCAGCCATTCCAGCCAAGCCTGCCAGCCAGCCAAGCCAGCCAAGCCAGCCATTCCAGCCAAGCCTGCCAGCCAGCCAAGCCAGCCAATCCAGTCATTCCAGCCAAGCCTGCCAGCCAGCCAAGCCAGCCAAGCCAGCCAGCCAGCCAGCCAAGCCAGCCAAGCCACCCAGCCACCGAAGCCAGCCAGCCAGCCAGCCAAGCCACCCAGCCAAGCCAGCCAGCCAGCCCAGCCACCCAAGCCACCCAGCCACACTCCATCTGAAAAAAAGAAGCACTCCATCCAGCCTGGGCAGTAGAGCGAGAGTCCATCTCCAAAAAAAAAAAAACAAAACAAAACACCAGCCTGGCCAATATAGTGGAACCCCGTCTCTAATAAATATACAAAAAAATCAGCTGGGCGTGGTGGCACACGCCTGTAATCCCAGCTACTTGGGAGGCCCAGGCAGGAAGATCTGTTGAACCCGGGAGGTGGAGGTCGCAGCGAACCAAGATTGCACCACTGCACTCCAGCCTGGGCAACAGGGCGAGACTCCCTCTCAGAAAAAAAAAAAAAAAAAAAAAAAAAAAAAGACCAGCCTGGCCAACTTGGTGAAACCTCGTCTCTACTAAATATACAAAGAAATTAGCTGGGCGTGGTGGCACACACCTGTAATCCCAGCTACTCAGGAGGCCCAGGCAGGAGGATCGCTTGAACCCGGGAAGTGGAGGCTGCAGCAAGCCAAGATTGCACAACTGTACTCCAGCCTCGGCAACAGAGTGAGACTCCATCTGAAAAAAAAGAAGCACTCCATCCAGCCTGGGCAGTAAAGCGAGATTCCATCTCCAAAAAAAAAAAAAAACCAAAAAAAAAAAAAAAAAACACACCAGCCTGGCCAACATGGTGAAACCCCGTCTCTACTAAATATACAAAAAAATTAGCTGGGCGTGGTGGCACAGGCCTGTAATCCCAGCTACTCGGGAGGCCCAGGCAGGAGGATCACTTGAACCCAGGAGGTGGAGGCTGCAGCGAGCCAAGATTGCGCCACTGTACTCCAGCCTGGGCAACAGAGTGAGACTCCATTTCAAAAAAAAGAAGCACTCCAGCCTGGGCAACAGAGTGAGACTCCATCTGAAAAAAAGAAGCACTCCAGCCTCGGCAATAGAGCAAGACTCCATCTCAAAAAAATAAGAGAAACACCAGCCTGGCCAACATAGCGGAACCCTGTCTCTAATAAATATACAAAAAAATTAGCTGGGCATGGTGGCACATGCCTGTAATCCCAGCTACTCAGGAGGCCCAAGCAGGAGGATCGCTTGAACCCTGGAGGTGGAGGTTGCAGTGCACCAAGATTGCACAACTGCACTCCAGCCTGGACAACAGAGCCAGACTCCATCTCAGAAAAAAAAGAAAAAAGAAAAAAAGACCAGCCTGGCCAACATGGTGAAACCCCGTCTCTACTAAATATACAACAAAATTAGCTGGGCGTGCTGGCACACGCCTGTAACCCCAGGTACTCAGGAGGCCCAGGCAGGAGGATCGCTTGAACCCGGGAGGTGGAGGTTTCAGCGAACCAAGATTGCACCTCTGCACTCCAGCCTGGGCAACAGAGCAAGATTCCATCTCAGAAAAACAAAACAAACAAACAAACAAAAAAAAGACCAGCCAGGTCAACATGGTGAAACCCCGTCTCTACTAAATATACAAGAAAATTAGCTGGGCGTGCTGGCACACGCCTGTAACCCCAGCTACTCGGGAGGCCCAGGGAGGAGAATTGCTTGAACCCGGGAGTTGGAGGTTGCAGCGAACGAAGATTGCACCACTGCACTCCAGCCTGGGCAACAGAGCAAGATTCCATCTGAGAAAAAAAAAAAAAAGACCAGGTTGGCAAACATGGTGAAAACCCGTCTCTACTAAATATACAAGAAAATTAGCTGGGCTAATTTTAGTTATCACATCTGTAAAATGGCACTAAGTTACAGGGATATTGTCCAGATGAATGTGTCTGGTACATAGTAGCAATAAAAAAGACGTTAGCTGGCCAGGCATGGTGGCTCACGCCTGTTATCCTAACAATTTGGGAGGCCAAGGAGGGTGGATCACTTGAGGCCAGGAGTAGGAGACCAGCCTGGCCAACACAGTGAAACACTGTCTCTACTAAAAATACAAAAATTAGCTGGCGAAGTGGCTTGTGCCTGTAATCCCAGCTACATGGGAGGCTGAGGCAGGAGAATTGCTTGAATCTGGGAAGTGGAGGTTGAAGTGAGCTGAGATTGGGCCATGGCACTCCAGCCTGGGCGACAGAGCGAGATTCTGTCTCAAAAAAAGGGAAACATTAGCTAACATTACCCTCAGCATGGATATTCCTACCAGTCTGATGTTCTGTTTTAGGTACTTAGTACCATAATAGCCTCATTGTTGGAGCACTGACTATGTTCCAGGTACTACGCTAAGTGCTTCACAAGCATTGTTTCATTTCATCCTCCCAACATCTCTCAAATAGGTACTAGCACTGTCCTCACTATTCAGGGGAGAAGTCTGCAGTTCAGAGGGGTGAAGTGATTCCTCTAAGACTGCATAACTTGTAAGTGGCAGAGCTAGGACCTGTCAGACTCTAAGAGCTTCATACCACACCTACAGGAAATATCTAGCAGCCAGTTCCATGCTCAGTTTCTTGAAGCATGAGATTCCAGGCCCCTAATATGGCACATAACTGTGGGCAGTAGAGGCCTCAATTCTCCCATCTGAACCATGAGGAAGGTCCCCCCGCCCTGAATCCCCTACAGGGCTGAGAGGAGGGCTCTAGAAACCTTGAAAAGGACTTTGTAGACTCTGAGCTGGGCACCCTCAAAGGCTTGGTTAGGAAGGAGACAAGAGAAAGAATTAATCCACTTCCTGCCAAGGAAGCCAAGAGCTGAAGGAGAAATGGTCCGTGTCCTCCTCCAGGGCCTGCCCCTTAGCATGGTTCCTCCCTGTTAGGAGGGTTAAGAACTTGGCCAAGTCTCAGCTCCACTCATCTCTGGCTGTATGTTCTTTGTACTTCCCCTCTCTGAGTGTCGGGCTTCTCAACTGTGAAATGGGGGTGATAATGATAACAGCCTTACCAGGACTGTAGTAAGGACAAGCCTTGGCCCATCGGTTCATTGTCTTAGTCTGCTCCTGTTGTTATAACAAAATACCTCAGACTCAGTAATATATAAACAACAGAAATATGTTGCTCATAGTTCTAGAGGCCGAGAAATCCACGAACAAGGCGTCAGTAGATTGGGTGTCAATGAGGGCCTGTTCCTCATAGAGGACGTCTTCTATGTGTCCTTACATGGTAGAAGGGGTGAACAAACTCCCTCAGGCTTCTTTTATAAGGGCACTAATCCCATTTATAAGGATGGAGCTTCATGAAGTGATCGCCCCCAAAAGTCCCACCTCTTAATACTACCACATTGCAGATTATGTTTCAATATATAAATTGGAGGAGACACATTGAGACACATGGATATTGGTTGAATAATTATCTTTTTTTTAATTTTTTTATTATTTTTTGAGACAGAGTCTTACTCTGTTGCCTAGACTGGAGTGCAATGGCACGATCTTGGCTCACTGCAACCTCTACCTCCTGGATTCAAGTGATTCTTCTGTCTCAGCCTCCCAAGTGTCTGGTATTACAGATGCATGCCACCACGCCTGGCTGATTTTTGCATTATTAGTAGAGGCAGGGTTTCACCATGTTGGCCAGGCTGGTCTCAAACTCCTGACTTCAAGTGATCCACCCACCTCGGCCTCCCAAAGTGCTGGGATTACAGGCATGAGCCACCATGCCTGCCCTGAATAATTATCTTTTGACACCTGGTCTGCAATTCTCATGGAGTTTCCGGTCTGGAAGAAGAGTCTGTATGTAATGTGTTTGGCACAGGTAGGTGCCCAATGGGTGGGTAGATGGATGGATGGATGGATGGGTGGATGGATGAGATGAGTGACTTACTGCAGGTCTCACAGTTATAAAGTAACTCTTCCTGATAGCTCACACTGGCCACCAAAGACACATTAAACACTGATTTGAGAGGTACTCCGTGGACCAAATTACATGAGCAAAGTCTTAGAATTAGGAATTATTGCAGCATGGATGAGAGGCACTCATTTTATGTTCTCTTTCAGTATTTTTCCCAACAAGATCCTGAGAAGGAGGATCTGGATGGAGGTTCTGCCAGAGCCCCCTGGAGCAGAGCCAGGAGGTTGAGTAGGGAGTTGCGCCCCACAGCCCATATGAGCAGGCAGGAGCAGGCCAAGCCTGAGGGTTGGGCCTCAGAGGCCTGGTCTGGCCGTATTTGGTTTTCAAGGAACTGGAAGGCTTCTCACCTCCTCTGCTGTCCAGGCACAGAAGCAAAGCCACCCACAGTTGCTGAGTCAGGGAGGCCCCTAGGGCAGGAACAGAGGCCCCACAACGGGGTAACTTGAACACAGTGGTTCAGAGCCTGGTCTCTTAGTGTCAAGAAGATATGGTGCCGGGAACAGTGGTGTGTCCCTGTGGTTCCTGCTCCTCAGAAGGCTGAGGCAGGAGGATAAGCCTAGGGATTCTTGAGCCCAAGAGTTCTAGGCTGTAGTGTGCTATATTGATCGAGTGTCTGTGCTAAGTTCAGCTTCAATATGTGACCTCCTGTAAGCAAGGGTGTCTAAGGAGGGGTGAACAGGCCCAGGATGAAAATGGAGCAGGTCAAAACTGTGCTGATCAGTGGAGGGATTGTGACTGTGAATAGCCACTGCATTCCACCCTAGACAACATAGTGAGACTCCGTCTCTAAAAGCAAATAAATAGGCTGGGTGCAGTGGGCTCACGCCTGTAATCCCAGCACTTTAGGAGGCCAAGGTGGGCGGATCACTTGAGGTCAGGAGTTCAAGACCAGCCTGGCCAATATGGCGAAACCCTGTCTTTACTAAAAATATAAAAATTAGCTGGTCATGATTTCATGTGCCTGTGGTCCCAGCTACTCAGGAGGCTAAGGCAGGAGAATCACTTGAACCTGGGAGGCAGAGGTTGCAGTGAGCCGAGATCACATCACTGCACTGCAGCCTGGGCAATGAGTGAGAACCTATCTCAAAAAAAAAAAAAAATTAAATTTAAAAATGTAAGTAAATAAGTAAATAAATAAATAAATAAATAAATAAATAAATAAAAGCTGTGGGTTCAAATCCTGCTCAACAACCAATAGCTGTGTGCCTGGCCTACATATCACCTATCAGAGCCTTTGTTTTTTTAATCTGTAAAAACAACAAAAATAGCAGTAAAAACAAGCACCATTACTGAGTTCATTATGTACAAGCCTCTGCTAAGCACCTTACCTGCATTATCTTATTTAATTGTCATCACAGTAAACAAGTTTTATTATTGTCCTCGTGAAACAAAATACATGAGAACAGTGTCTCTCATCCATGCTGCCATAATTTCTAACCCAAGCCGTTGCTCATGCAGTCCCATCTACCTGGAGTGTATCTCTCTTTTTTTTTTTTGGAGACGGAGTCTTGCTCTGTCTCCAGCTGGAGTGCAGTGGCACAATCTTTGCTCACTGCAGCCTCTGCCTCCCGGGTTCCAGAGATTCTCCTGCCTCAGCCTCCCGAGTAGCTGGGATTACAGGCAAGTGCCACCACACCTGGCTAATTTTTGTATTTTTAATAGAGTCGGGGTTTCACCATGTTGGCCAGGCTGGTCTCAAACTCCTGTCTTCAGATGAGCCACCTACCTCGGCCTCCCAAAGTGCTAGGATTACAGGCATGAGCCACTGCGCCCAGCATGTAACCAACTCTTATGCAACCTTCAGTGTTCAGTGTAAGGTAACCAAAAAGTTACTTCCTGACTCTGAGACCTGGATTTCCAAATGAGGAAGCTGAGGCACACAGGGTGAGATCACATTCAAGTAAGAGACAGAGCTAGAGGCTGGGTGCAGTGGCTCACACCTGTAATCACAGCACTTTGGGAGGCTGAGGCGGGTGGATCACCTGAGGTCGGGAGTTTGAGACCAGCCTGATCAACATGGAGAAACCCCGTCTCTACTAAAAATACAAAATTAGCTGGGCATGGTGGCGCATGCCTGTAATCCCAGCTACTCGGGAGGCCGAGGCAGGAGAATCGCTTGAACCCGGGAGGTGGATCCCAGCTAGTCAGGAGGCTGAGGCAGGAGAATCGCTTGAACCCGGGAGGTGGAGGTTGCCGTGAGCCGAGATCACGCCATTGCACTTTACCCTGGGCAACAAGAGTGAAACTCCGTCTCAAAAAAAAAAAAAAAGACAGAGCTAGGAAGTGCTTACAACTTCCTCATGCTTACCTACATTTCAATTTCTGTTATTGAATCTTTTCCCCCTCAAATATACCCTATCAGCTTCTATTTTATTTTTATTTTTTGTGATGGAGTCTTGCTCTGTTGCTCAGGCTGGAGTGCAGTGGTGCGATCTTGGCTCACTGCAACCTCCACCTCCCACGTTCAAGCGATTCTTCTGCCTCAGCCTCCTGAGTAGCTGGAATTACAGGCACATGCAATGACACTGGGCTAATTTTTGTATTTTTAGTAGAGATGTGGTTTCACCATGTTGGCCAGGCTGGTCTCAAACTCCTGACCTCAGGTGATTCACCCACCTCAGCCTCCCAAAGTGCTGGGATTACAGACGTGAGCCACCGCGCCTGGCCTACATTTTTTTTTAAGTGCTGTCAAATGCATACCTTCTACTTTTCTTCAATAAATGTCAACTCTTTACCCATTATGTGCCAGTCCCTGTGGGGTGTGCCAAGCAGAAAAAGCACTGATCTAAGATGTGTGGCTCAGTTATGTGTAGATCCATGACCTTGCTGGGCTTTAGGATCCTTATCTATAAAATGGATATCATTATATCTTACCAGTAAGAACTGCTGAGGATAAAGGCAGACCGTACTTGTGAAAGTGTTCTGTAATACAAACTAGGGTTGTTCATTTTCCTTCTGCAGTGCTCAGCTCTGGCCTCACCTCTCCTGTTTGCATTTTCCGTTTCCTTCCTGCCTGTGTTCAGGCCTGCAGACTTCTGTCTGTCCTCCCTGGTCTAACTCCCTTATCCTACTTGCCAAGCCTTACTGTGATGTCATTTAATAAATTCTGGAGACACAAGGAGTGCCTCGTAGAGATGGACAATTTCCTTCAGTAGTCTCCTGCTGTTTTTAGAGTTGCCTCCAGGTGCCTGGGCCTGTGGGTGTTGGGCAGGAGAACCCTCCTCCCATGGCAGAAATAAGTGGGAGAAGTAGGGATTGCCTTCCTCCAATAATAATGCTTTGGCCCTAAAAACGAAACTCTTGAACCCCATAGAATATTTTATTTTATTTTTTTGAGACAGAGTCTCACTCTGTCACCCAGACTGGAGTACAGTTGCACGATCTTGGTTCACACAATCTCTACCTCCCAGATTCAAGCAATTCTCATGCCTCAGCCTCCCAAGCAGCTGGGACTACAGTGATGCACCACCACGCCTGGCTAATTTTTGTATTTTTAGTAGAGATGGGGTTTCACCGTGTTACCATGCTGGTGTCGAACTCCTGGCTTCAAGTGATCCGCCCTCCTTGGCCTCCCAAAGTGCTGGGATTACAGGTATGAGCCACCATGCCCGGCCAAACCCCATAGAATATTGAAGAAGCCCAAATGGATACTTGTGTCTTACTGAGTGGACAAACTTTAAAGTTACTTCAAAACATGAAAGGATGACTTGCTCCATATCAAACCTCCTAATTAATCCAACAGCAATTTTATTTTATTTTGTTTTATTTTATTTTTTGAGACAGGGTCTTGCTCTGTTGCCCAGGCTGGAGTGCAGTGGCACAATCACAGCTCACTGCAGCCTCAACCTCTTAGGCTGAAGTGATCCTCCCAGCTCAGTTTCCTGAGTAGCTGGGACTACAGGTGTATGCCACCATGCCTGGCTAATTTTTGTATTTTTTTGTAAAGACAGAGTTTTGCCATGTTGCCGAGGCCGCTCTTGAACTCCTAAGCTCAAGCAATCCACCGACCTCGTCCTGCCAAAGTGCTGGGATTACAGGTGTGAGCCACCACACCTGGTCTGCAATTTTTATCTAAGGCAGGATTTACTGATTTATTTAGAGACAGAGTCTGTCTCTGTTGCCCAGGCTGGAGTGCAGTGGTGTGATCATGACTCAGTGCAAGCTTAAACTCCTGGACTCAAACAATCTTCCTACTTCAGCCTCTTGAGTAGCTGGGACTACAGGCACACACCACCATGCCCAGAAAGGTTGTTTTTTTTTTTTGACATGGAGTCTTGCTCTGTCATCAGGCTGGAGTGCAGTGGCATGATCTTAGCTCGCTGCAATCTCCACCTCCCAGGTTCAAGCAATTCTCCTGCCTCAGCCTCCTGAGTAGCTGGGACTACAGGTGAGTGCCACCACACCGAGCTAATTTTTGTATTTTTAGTGGAGATGGGGTTTCACCATGTCGGCCAGGATGATCTTGATCTCTTGACCTCGTGATCCTCCCCCTTAGGCCTCCCAAAGTGCTGGGATTACAGGCATGAGACACCAAGCCCGGCACACCTGCTTCTTCTTTTTTTTTTTTTTTGAGACAAGTCTTGCTCTGTTGCCCAGGCTGGAGTGCAGTGGCACGATCTTGGCTCACTGCAAGCTCTGCCTCCTGGGTTCATGCCATCCTCCTGCCTCAGCCTCCTGAGTAGCTGGGACTACAGGCGCCGGCCACCATGCCCGGTGAATTTTTTTTTGTATTTTTAGTAGAGACAGGGTTTCACCGTGTTAGCCAGAATGGTTTCGATCTCCTGACCTTGTGATCCGCCTGCCTCAGCCTCCCAAAGTGCTGGGATTACAGGCGTGAACCACCGCACCCGGCCCACACCTGCTTCTTAAAGGACCAAGTCCTGGCTGGGCTCAGTGGCTCATGCCTATAATCCCAGCACTTTGGGAGGCCGAGGTGGGCAGATCTCTTGAGTCCAAGAGTTTAAGACCAGCCTGGGCATAGTGAAATCTCATCTCTACAAACCATTAAAAAATGTTTTGGCCAGGCATGGTGGCTCACATTTGTAATCCCAGCACTTTGGGAGGCCGAGGCATGTGGATCACCTGAGGTCAGGAGTTTGAGACCAATAGGCCAATATGGTGAAACCCCATCTCTATTAAAAATACAAAATTTAGCTGGGTGTGGTGGTGGACGCCTGTAATCCCAGCTACTCGGGAGGCTGAGGCAGGAGAATCACTTGAACCTGGGAGGTGGAGGTTGCAGTGAGCCAAGACCGTGCCATTGCACTCTAGCCTGGGTGACAAAAGTGAAACTCCATCTCAAAAAAAAAAATGTTTTAAAGGGACCAAGTCCTTTTAGGGGAGCTTCTGATCATTTAAATCTCCAATAACAGAAGAGGTTTTCAAATGTTACCCCGGGGATTCCTCATTGCCCGCTCCCAGTATTTTCCAAGAAAGACCTGAGGCTCCTTTCTGAGCTTCATTCCCTTGTTCTCCTCCCAGCCCCTCAGCTGTCTTTTGTACCAATTGGGTAGTTATTAATTGCTCCCTAATTGCAAATTGGCTGCCTCCTTACTGGCTCCCACCCATGCTGGCTGGCTGACCCAGGGGTCACATGCATCCTTCAGGGAAAGCTGTTTTGTGAATCCAGTGGTTCAGTTGTTCCACACATGTGTGTTGAGCCCCTTCGTTGATGCCAGATCCTTTCTAGGTCCTGGGGACCCTGTTGAGCGAGACAAACCCAAGTCCCTGGCTTCTCAGAGCTCACAGTCTAGCAGGAGACAACAAAAAAATTAATCATTTCCGATCGTCAGTGCTGTGATGGGGAGTAATTACAGTACAGAGTAATTTTGGGGAGCTTCAGATACGTGCTCTGGGAAGACTTTTCTAAGGAGGTGACGTGTGAGTTAAGATCTGAATGGTAATCCGGAGCCAGCCAGAGTGAAGATGAGGTCGAAGAGCACAGTCCCGGGGGAGAAGAAAGCAAAGGCAGAGGCCAGGTGAGAGGAAGCAGCATGGCCTCTCTCAGGGGCATTCATTTCATCTATGAAGCCCTAAGGGATTCTGAAGTCAAACATCAGGTTGGGGCTAGTTGTAAGGTTTAGGGCAAAACACCCCTCCTACTCCCTGTTGTTAGAGACCAGAGGCGGCGTTTGCCCCCACCTGGCCCCGCTCCAGAAGGAGGGGTTATTATACGTCTGATTGAATCAGCTTCCAGCATCCTTATTGGTCCTTGGAGGTAATTAGGGCACTGTCGCTTCAAAGTCCCAAATTCAGGCGCCCCACTGGGGACTACAGTGACCGCTCCCCACCCCACCCACCGCAAGCTCAGAGGTTGGAGAGAACTGCCTCCCCGAAGGAACCCAGACCCAGGCTTGAGACTTTGCAAAGAGACACAAGATGCGGGTTGCCATGTGAAGTTTCCGGATTTTTTAAAATGTTAGAACGATGAATTGGAAAAGCTTTAAAACACTGCACAGGCCAAACAACATGTCTATGGGCAGGACCTGGCCAGCTGGCCTGGGTGCGGTGGGGCTTGGTGAATGCCTAGAGGTAGGGATGAGGGAGAGAAGGAGTCAGGAAGGATGCTAACTGCATCCTGGACTCTGGGACACCCATGCCCTGGCAGAGATGTGCCCTAAGAGGAACGAACTCACGGCCACAGGCACAGATTGAGCATCTACTGTGTGCATGGCTCTGTGCTAGGATGGGGGATACAAAACACTTCAGAGGACTGCACCTTCGCTCAGGGCTGGATGGGCCAACCTCAGGAAACCTGGGTTCCAGCCTTGACTTGCTCTCCTATAATTGCTGTGTGAACTTGGGTTGAGTCATCATCTCTCTGGGATTCAGCACACAGCCTTTGTTGACATTAGATTAACTAAATCCAGTAAGGGAAGATTTTGAAGGGCCTCTGGGTGTCTGGATAGGGAATCTGGGCTGGGTCTAATAGGAAGTAGGAACCACCCCAGGTTCTTGAGCAGGGGAGTGACATGTTTAAGAGGAAAGTGAAGCAGGCCACCTGTGCAGAGACACACATCATCCAGGTGTGGGGTAGTGACGACAGCAACTAAAGCGTATGCAAATCAGATCTCATCACCTCTAGCTCAAAAACCTTCCATGGGTCCCTGCAGCCCTCACATGAAAGTCCTTTCCTCTTACTATGGTCCATGAGCAGGGCCAGCTTCATGCAATGAAGGGTCAGTGTAATGCTCTGCTGTCACTATCTTGAAATACTTAATAATTTTTGAACAAGGAGCTCCTTTTTCTCATTTTGCACCAGGTCCTGCAAATTATGAAGGTTCCCACAGGGGCCTTTCAGTCTGGGCCTTTTCCCCTCTCCCCATCCAAACCCCACTTCTCCCTTACCCTTCATACTTCACTCACGTTGGTCTTCCATCAGTTTCTGGAGATTGTTCCTGCCTTGGGACATTTGCGTAGTCTGTTCCCCTTGCCTGGAACACCCCCACCCCCACGTCGAGACCAACTTAGTTTTTTGTTCAACAATTTCTTATCTTCCAGACTTGAGCATAATTATCTCCTGAGAGATAACTCCTCTGGCCTCCCAGAACTACCTGTTCAAAACAAAACTTTAAAAATTATTTAAGCCAGCCAGGCACGATGGCTCATGCCTGTAATCCCAGCACTTTGGGAGGCCCAGGTGGGCGGATCACTTGAGGTCAGGGGTTCAAGACCAGCCTGGCCAACATCATGAAACCCCGTCTCTACTAAAAATACAAAAATTAACCGGGTGTGGTGGAATGCACCTGTAGTCCCAGCTACTTGGGAGGCTGAGGCAGGAGGATTGCTTGAACCCGGGAAGCAGAGGTTGCAGGGAGCTGAGATCACGCCACTGCACTCCAGCCTGGGCGACAGAGTAAAACTCTGTCTCAAAAAAAAAAAAAAAAGAAAAAAAGATTTAAGCCTGAGTGCAGTGGGTCACTCCTGTAATCCCAATACTTTGGGAGGCAAGGCAGGAGTATTGCTGAGGCCAGGAGTTCCAGACCAGTCTGGGCAACACAGCAAGATCTCATCTGTACAAAAAATAAGAAAATTAGCCAGACATGGTGGTGTGTGCCTGTAGTCCCAGCTACTTCGGTGGCTGAGGCAGGAGGATTGCTTGCACCCAGGAGTTCAAGGCTTCAGTGAGCCATGATTGCGCCACTGCACTCCTACCTGTGCAACAGAGCTAGACCCTGTCTCAAAAAAAAATGCAGTAATGGAGGCATTTCAGACATCTGTCAGCAGCCATAGGTGTTCAGGGGCTTTGTGCTTATAAAGGTTTATTCAGTAACAAATATTCAGCTGGAGCGGGCATCATGGCTCACACCTGTAATCCTAGCACTTTGGGAGGCTGAGGCAGGAGGATTGCTTGAGCCCAGGAGTTTGAGACCAGCTGGGCAACAAAGTGAGACCTGATCTCTACCAAAAACAAAATACATAAAATTAGCTGGGCATAGTGGCATGCACCGGCTGAGGTGGGAGTATCGCTTGAGCCCAGGAGGTCGAGGCTGCAGTGAGCTGTGATCACACCATTGCACTCCAGCCTGAGAGACAGAGTGAGACCCTGTCTCAAAAAATTAAAAACTTAATTAATTAAAAAAAATTCAACTGGGGAAATAGTTCTAGCTCTCTCTTTCTCTCTCTCTCTCTTTTTTTTTTTGGAGGCAGAGTTTCACTCCGATACCCAATCTGGAGTGCAGTGGCATGATCTCAGCTCACTGCAACCTCCACCTTCCAGGCTCAAGGGATTCTCCCACCTCAGCCTCCCAAGTGGCTGGGACTATAGGTGGGTGCCACCACACCCAGCTCATTTTTGTACTTTTTGTAGAGATGGGGTTTTGCCATGTTGCCCAGGCTGGTCTTGAACTCCTGGACTCAAGCGATCCTCCCACCTCAGCCCCCCAAAGTGCTGGGATTACAGGCATGAGCCACCACACTTAGCCAAATTGCCATCTCTTAATGAAGTAAATAAAACCATTTACACCACAAGAGACAGAGGGAAGGGATAGGATTTATCGAAAACATAATAAATCCCCTTGGCCAAATTCATGGACCCTGGCAGGGTAAGATCAGAGATAGCATCATTTCTGCCTATGTGGCTGACATTCATTATGTAAGGCCCATGTACCAGGATCCCCATCCCATGCAAGCTCTGTGAATGATCACTCCCAACCTTATAAGGTTGGAAGTATTAGCTCCCCACTTTGTGGATGAGGAAACTGAGGCCTAGAGAAATTAAGTAACTTGCCAAATGTCACACAGTGAAGAATTGACAGAGTTGGGATTTGTACCTAGATCTGTCCAACTCCAGATCTCCCTGAGCCCTTCACTACCGCAAAATAGCTACTCAACTGGCTTGCTGTATGATTTGGGGCAAGTTCCTCAACCTTTCTGAGTCTCAGATTCTTTTTTTCTTTTTCTTTTTTTGAGATGGAATTTCCCTCTTTTCACCCAGGCTGGAGCGCAATGGCATGATCTCAGTTCACTGCAACCTCCGCCTTCCAGGTTCAAACCATTTTCCTGCCTCAGCCTCCCAAGTAGCTGGGATTACAGGTGCCCACCACCACGCCTGGCTAATTTTTGTATTTTTAGTACAGACCGGGTTTCACCATCTTGGCCAGGCTTGTCTCGAACTCCTGACCTCTGGTGATCTGCCCGCCTCAGCCCCCCAGAGTGCTGGGATTACAGGCATGAGCCACTGTGCCCAGCCTCTTTCTTTTTTTTAAGACAAGGTCTTATTCTGCCACCCAGGCTGGAATGCAGTGGGCAATCTCTGCTTACTGCAGCCTCAACCTCCTAGGGTCAAGTGATCCTCCCACTTCAGCCTCCCAAGTAGCTGGGACTACAGGCATGCGGCACCAGGCCCAGTTAAGCTGAGCCTCAAATTCTTTACCTATAACTTGTCCCTTATTTAAGCTAACACATGGTAGGTGCTGAAGTTGATTCTCTCTCTCTCTCTCTCTTTTTTTTTTTTTTCTTGAGACACGGTCTTGCTCTGTCACCCAGGCTGGAGTGCAATGGCATGATCTCAGTTCAGTGCAGCCTCAACCTCCTGAGCTCAAGCAATCCTCCTGCCTCAGCTCCCCAGAGTAGTGGGATTACAGGCATGCACCACTGTTGATTCTTTATAGATGTTAATTCTCTACTTAACACACACGCCCCTCCAACTCCCACCACACATACAGACACAGACACACACACACACACACACACACACACGCATGCATGCACGCACACCAGCCCCACAACAGGAGGAATGTAACAGAAGCAATGCTTTGTGTTCTGTAACCTGTTTCCTTTTCCTGGACACACAGGAAGGTCATGTTCTCATTTTTCCTGCAGTTAGTAGAGTCATGTGACTACATAAAGGCCAATGAAATTATACGTGACCCCTGCGCAAAGGCAGTTAAGTGTGGATGTGCCTCCTTTGATTTTCTGATTCCCTTTCCACATGCAGAGGATTCAGGAATAGATTCCATGGAGAGCCTGGGGTGGAGGCAGGATTGGGGGGCAAGGTCACTGCTTGGAAAAGAGCTCCCTGGGAGAGCCCCAACCTATATCAGACTTTGCAGGAGTGAGAAATAAACTCTGATTGGGTTAAACCACTGAGATATTTTGTTTGTTACAGCAGCCAGCATTAATTACACTGAATAAAACTGTGTATCAGTTATCAATTGCCACAACAATGCTACATAACAAACCACCCCAAAACTTAGTGCCTTAAAACAGCAACCATTTTTTTAGCTCAAGATTTCATGGACTGGCACTTTAGCCTGGGCTCAGCTAAAGATTTTTCTGGTCTCAGTTGGGCTTACTCATGTATCTGTGGTCAGCTATTGGATTAGATGGTGACTGACTAGGACAGCTTCAGCTAGGATAACTAGTCCCTGTTCCAGTGGTCTCTTAGGCAGGATAGCCCAGGCTTGTTCACATAACAGCTGCGAGAGTTCCAAGAGAATGAGTGGAATCTCTTAAGGCCCAATCTCTTAACACCCAGGCTTCGAACTGGCAATGCCACTTCCATATATTCTATTGGCCAAAAATAGTCACATGCCTGGCTGGGAATGGTGGCTCACACCTGTGTAATTCCAGCACTTTGGGAGGCTGAGGTGGACGGATTACTTGAAACTAGGAGTTTGAGACCAGCCTGGACAACATGGGGAAACTCCATCTCTATAAAAATTTGTCAGGTGTGGTGGTGAGTGCCTGTAGTCCCAGCTACTCGGGAGGCTGAGGTGAGAGGATCACCTGAGCCCAGACAGGTCAAGGCTGTAGTGTGCCATGATCACACCACTGCACTCCAGCTTGGGTGACAGAGATCCTGTCTTAAAAAATAAAAAAGAGCTCAGCCTCTAGAACCACAGCCCTGGGCTTAAGTCCTGACTCACTTGCTATTGATTTTGGGCAAGTGCCGCTCCTCTCTGAGACTCACATTTCCCTTCTATAAAACAGGTGCTGGGGCCGGGCATGGTGGCTCTCACCTGTAATCCCAGCACTTTGGGAGGCCAAGGCAGGCGAATCACCTGAGTTCAGGAGTTCAAGACTAGCCTGGACAACATGGTGAAATCCCGTCTCTACTAAAAATATAAAACTTAGCCAGGCGTGGTGGCGCACGCCAGTAATCCTAGCTACTCACTACTCAGGAGGCTGAGGCAGGAGAATCGCTTGAACCCAGGAAGCGGAGGTTGCAGTGAGCTGAGATTGTGCCATTGCACTCCAGCCTGGGCAACAAGAGTGAAACTGTCTAAAAAAAAAAACAAACAAAAAAACACAACAACCAAAAAACACAGGTGCTGGAAGAGAGGAGTCCTAACATTGGGGGCTATTGTGAGAATTGACTGAGGGAATGCACCATGGAAATGTGTGCTGTAAATTACCTATTTTATTACACCCAACGTGGGCTTAATAGCTGTCAGGGAGTGTTAGTATTATCTCCCCCAAACCCTCAATTTACAGAGGAGAAAACAGAGGCTCAGGCAGGTGATGTGACTTGCCAAGGCTGCATAGCTAAGGAGCAGTGATGAACCCACCGTACTTAAGTTTGTCTGTTTCCAGAATCTAAGGTCTTAGCCTCGCTACAGTTAGAAAGTCCTAGGTTTGAGTCTCGACTCTGTCCATTATAGCTGTGTGACCTTGGGCAAGTCACTTTTCTCTCTGGGCCTCATTTTTTTCTTCGTCTAAAGAAATTAGCATCTGTCTCATAATGCCATGGGGAATCAATGGGAAAATACAAAGAAAGTGCTTAGCAGAGTGCCAAGGAGGGACAGTATGCATGCTCAGCAATTGAAGGCTGCCAAGTTCCTGTTATCATCAGGGGCAGTGTTCCATCCATCAAAAGGGCTAAGAATAGTCTTAGCCTGGCCAGGCACAGTGGCTCATGCCTGTAATCCCAGCATTTTGGGAGGCCGAGGCAGATGGATCACCTCAGTTCAGGAGTTCAAGACCAGCCTGGCCAACATGTCGAAACCCCGTCTCTACTGAAAATACAAAAATTAGCCAGGCGTGGTGACGGGCCCCTGTAATCCCAGCTAATTGGGAGGCTGAGGCAGGAGAATCACTTGAAGCCAGGAGGCAGGGGTTTCAGTGAGCCGAGATTGCGCCACTGCACTCTAGCCTGGGTGACAGAGTGAGACTCTGTCTTAAAAAAAAAAAAAAAAGAAATAGTCTTAGCCAGTGGGGGTAGGGTGAGGAATAAGTAAGTTACTGTGGGCTATGCTTTAGCACAGTGCCCAGCACATATTATAAACTTCATAAGCAGTTGCTATTTTAAAGGGTTTTTGTTTTGTTTTGTTTTTGTTTTTGAGACAAGACCTCACTCTGTCGCCCAGGCTGGAGTGCAGTACTTTTAAAGTTCTGAACCCTGTTGGAGGCCAACATGAGACCATGGGGGACCCCAGGCTCCAACTGGCAGTGGCTCCAGGCACTGCCTCTGCTGCCGTTTGGCTATTATTAGGCCCGGCGTCCTCATCTCAAATCCAGGTGGGGAGCGAGAAGGGTGGTAGGGCAGGGCCTGGCTGGCGGAAGGCTGGGAACACGGCTTGGAGGCTGGGTTAGGGTTTGGGCCCCACCCTGCCTGCCTTCCCTTGTTTGCAGCTGGTCCAGCCACCATGTCTACACTTGGCTCTGAGGTTGGTGCAGAGCACTGCCTCCCACCATGGCCGCCTCCTCTGGGAAGATTCAGAGCCCTTCTGCAGCCTCAGCACTTTTCTGCCTGCCCCAGAGAGGCCAGGCCTGCGTGGAAACTCTGAATTGGACACTGCGCGCCTTCAGAACCAGCAAAGGAGCCATCCACCCTGCTGTCTACAGGTCTTCATGCCTCCAGTGAGGCTTACTGGATCTGCTGAGGGGGAAGGGCCTATATACCTGGGTTCAAATCCCTTCCCTACCACCAACATGCAGTGTCAACTTGGACAAATGACTTCCCCTCTCTGAGCCTCAGTTTCTTTGCCCATAAAAGGGACAGACTATTAGCATCTGCTTTATAGGGCTGTGGTGATGGTTACATGAGTGCATGGTATGCCATAGGCACTCAATATGTGTCAGTTATTTCATGCTTAAGTGTGCCAGGACCTGAGGAGGAAACAAAGTTTTGGGAGGTTGAGAATCTGGGATGCAGAATGGCTCTGCTCCTGATTTGCTACACTACCTGAAGCCTGTCCCTTGTCCTCTCTGGGACTCAGTTACCTATTTGAACCATAAGGTGGGTATCCAGGACTCTGTGATGCCAAGATTCAGGTGCTATGTTCAGAAGTAGAGAGAAGGGTTTGCTGGGATCCCACACTGACAGGTTGGTAAAATATTCATTCTCGGACTGGACTCTGGAGCCAAAATACCCTCGGCCCCTGAGCTGCTCCAGATACTCCCTACTCTGCCAGTCCAGGGCTGAACCTGGAAGAATCTAGACCCTTCTTGTTACAGTTTTTTGCCCTAGGAGGGCCTGAAGGAAGCCAGTCAAACCCCCTCATTTTACAGATGGGCAGACTGAGGCCCAGGTCTCCCCAGTGCTCAGGCTTCATCCAAGCGGAGCTTCCAAATGGTGGATGGTAGAATATGGTGATTAAGAACAAATGTTCTGGCCAGGCGCAGTGGCTCACGCCTGTAATCTTAGCACTTCAGAAGGTCAAGGCAGGAGGATTGCTTGAACCCAGGAGTTCAAGACTAGCCCTGGCAACACAGGGAGACCCTTGTCTCTACAAAAAATAAAAAAAATTAGCCGGGCATGGTGGCATGTGTCTGTAGTCCCACTGTGAGCCTGGGAGGTCAAGGCTGCAGTAAGCCATGGTTGTGCCACTCCACTCTCCAGCCTGGGCGACAGAGTGAGACTCTGTCTCAAAGACAAAACAAAACAAAAAAAAACAACAAAAGAACGAGGGTTCTGAGTCTGTCTCCTTATCTGTATAATGGTGGTCCTACCTCACAGGACTCAAGCTGTGAAGGTCATAGTGGTAACAAAATTGCCACACATGTAGTATAAGCATGATCAGGAGCCAGTGTCCAACCCATCAGGTAGCAATTACATAGTGTCCCACCATGAGCCTAGACCCCCACTCCCTGCGCCCAGGCATCAGGGACTCCCAGAAGTCTAAAGAGGTCCAGGCTGGCACATCCAGAACTCTCTCCTTCCTGTTCCAGCCCCTTGCCTCTCCTTTGTCTGTGAGGCTGGGTCTCCTGGAATTCATTGCTGCCCAGTGGGCATCTGAGGCCCTTTCTCCTCCTGCAGGGCCAGAAGTTTGCCTGGCACTATTGCCCAGAGAACACAGTGGCTGGATGACATCATGGAGATGATGGCCTTGCCAAACTGGTTTCCCAACAGGTCCTCAGTCCCACTCCGAGGGCTGCTGGCCATGACCTAGGGCTCACCCAGTTCTGCACATAAGGAGGAAGGTCATACCCCTTGGATCCAGCCAACCCCAACAAGAACCATCCACTTCTAGGGACTCCATTCTCCAGCCTCACCTGCCTGTCTGTTGCCCAACAAGGTCCTCACAATCCTACTTCCGTTCCTTTGCTAATGCTGTTCCCATCTCCAGAATGACAGTGCTGTCCTGGGGAGAGAGGCTTAGAGAGCCCAAGGCACAGCTCCTCCATTGTGCATATGAGCAAGTTGAGGCTCCAAGAGGGCCAACCCTTACCTAGGGTGGAGCCAGGGGTAAGACACCCATCACCCTTCTTGCCTCCTGACCCAAGGCCTGGGTTTTCCCTGCAGGACCCTGACTGGGTGGAGGGTTAGCCAGGGTGACTTAGGGATGCAATGCAGACAGCTTGGTAAAATAGTCATTCTCAGACTTGGGCTCTGGAGCAAAATATTACCCCTAGCCTCTGAGCTGCTCCAGCCACTTCCCATTCTGCCTTTCTGGGGTTGAACCTGGAAGAACCTAGAGTAGACCCTTTCTGTGACAGCCCCTTGCCCTAGGAAGGCCTGAAGCAGACCAGTCTAATCACCTCATTTTACAGGGGCAGGCTGAGGCCCAGGCCTCTCTGGCGCCCACAAGATACATTCGTCCTGCTCACCTGGCATTCAGAATCCTTTGCCAAGAGAAGCACCCACATTTCCTGCTCCACCCACAGCCTATCCTCCTCCTTTTCCCAGACTATTGGTCTTTGCTCACACTGTTCCTCTGCCACAAATGCCCTTTCATGCCTTTCCCCCTCTTCTACGTGGGATGAATTTTAAAAATTAGTTGGGCGTGGTGGTGTTTGCCTGTAGTCCTAGCCTCTTGGGAGGCTGAGATGGGAGGATTGCTTGAGCCAGGAGTTTGAGGCCATGGTAAGCTGTGATCATGCGACTGCACTCCAGCCTGTGGGACACAGCAAGACCCTGTCTCCAAAAAAAAAAAAAAAAACAACAACAAGTATGACACACAGTTTATATGCCACTTCCCTAAGAAGTCTTCCAGAGCTTCCCCCATCCGAGTGGCAGCAAAGTAGAGGGAAGGGGCTGGAGTGCAGTGGCACCATCATGGCGTGAACCTTGAGAACCTCATGCTTTTTGTCACAATAAGAAAAAAAAACTTTAAAATTACTAAGTTCTCTCTCTCTCTCTTTTTTTTTGAGACCGAGTTTTGCTCTGTCACCCAGGCTGGAGTGCAGTGGCACGATCTCGGCTCACTGAAAGCTCCGCTTCCTGGGTTCACGCCACATTCTCCTGCCTCAGCCTCCCGAGTAGCTGGGACTACAGGTGCCCGCCACCACACCCGGCTAATTTTTTTTTGTAGTTTTAGTAGAGACAGGTTTTCACCATGTTAGCCAGGACAGTCTCGATCTCCTGACCTCGTGATCTGCCCACCTGGGCCTCCCAAAGTGCTGGGATTACAGGCGTGAGCCACTGCGCCCAGCCTTTTTTTTTTTTTTTTTTTTGACATGGCGTCTTGCTCTGTCATCAGGCTGGAGTGCAGTGGTGTGACCTCGGCTCACTGAAACCTCTGACTCCCTGGTTCAAGTGATTCTCCTGCATCAGCCTGGCAAGTAGCTGGGATTACAGGCATGTGCCACCACGCACAGTTAATTTTTGTATTTTTAGTAGAGATGGGGTTTTACTATGTTGACCAGGATTGTCTCAGTCTCCTCAGCTGAGGTCAGGAGTTCGAGACCAGCCTGGCCAATATGGTGAAACCCTGTCTCTACCAAAAATACAAAAATTAGCTGGGTGTGGTGGCGCATGCCTGTAATCCCAGCTACTGAGGAGACTGAGGCAGGAGAATTTATTGAACCCAACTGGCAGAGGTTGCAGTGAGCCAAGATTGCACCACTGCACTCCAACCTGAGCAACAGAGCAAGACTCCGTCTTAAAAAAATAGGTCAGGTGCAGTGGCTCATGCCTGTAATCCCAGCACTTTGGGAGGCTGAGGTGGGCAGATCACAATGTCAGGAGTTCGAGACCAGCCTGGCCAACTTGGTGAAACCCCATCTCTACTAAAATACAAAAACTAGCCAGGTGTGGTGGCGGGTGCCTGTAGTCCCAGCTACTCGGGAGGCTGAGGTAAAAGAATGGCATGAACCTGGGAAGCGGAGCTTGTGGTGAGCCGAAATTGCGTCACTGCACTCCAGCCTGGGCGAAAGAGCAAAACTCCATCTCAAAAATAAAATAAAATAATGTAAAATAAAATAAAATAAAATATACAAAAACTAGCCAGGCTTGTGGTACATGCCTGTAATCATAGCTACTCGGGGGGCTGAAGCAGGAGAATCACTTGAACCAGGAGGTGGAGGTCACAGTGAACTGAGATCGTGCCACTGCACTCCAGGCTGGGTGAGGGAGTGAGACTCTGTCTCAAAAAAAAAAAAAAAAAAAAAAAAAAGAAAGAAACAAAAATTAGCTGTGCATGGTGGTGTGTGGCTGTAGTCCCAGATGCTTGGGAGGCTGAGGCAGGAGAATCACTTGAACTAGGAGGCGGAGGTTGCAGTGAGCAGAGATTGCGCCACTGCACTCCAGCCTGGGAGGCAGAGTGAGACACTGTCTAAAAAAAAGAAAAGTTTCCTGTCCTCTCCAAGCCCTGACCTTACCTATCACCCCAAATCCCCCAAATGAATCTTCAGGCCTCCTTCTAATGCCTTCCTTCCTCTTATACTACAAACATGCATTCCTTCCTCTTATACTACAGAGTCTCCCTCTGTCACCCAGGCTGCAGTGCAATGGCTCAATCTTGGCTCACTGCAACCTCTCCCGGAATCAGGCGATTTTCCTGCCTCAGCCTCCCAAGTATCTGGGAATACAGGTGCGCACAACCAAGTCTGGCTAATTTTTTTTGTATTTTTAATAGAGACGGGGTTTCACCATGTTGGCCAGGCTGGTCTCGGAACACCTGACCTTATTATCCACCCACCTCAGTCCCCCAAAGTGCTGGGATTATGGGTGTGACCCACTGTGCCCGGCTGACACTTTCAAACTCATTCATTGAGGCCAATATTTTCCTGGTACCAAAACCAAAGGCATCATGAGAAAAGAAAAATAATAACCAATATTTCTCATAAAGACCAAAAAAAAAAAAAACTGCAACAAAATACTAGCAAGCCAAGTCCAGTAATACATAAAAAGATTCTATAACATGACCAAGTAGGATTCATGCCTGCTTGGAGTAACACCCAAAAATCAACTGATATAATGCACCATAAAAGTAGAATAAAAAGCAAAAACCACATGATCTTCTCAATAAACACAAAAATTTTCTGACAAAATCCAACACCCTTTCATGATAGAAACAGTCCACAAGCTAGGAATAGAAAGAAACTTTCTTTACTTGCTAAAGGCATCTATGAAAAACCCACAGCTAACAATGTATTAAATGGGGAAAACAAAGCTTTCCCCCTAAGATCAGGAACTAGGCAAGTACATCTACTCTTGTCACTTATAATCTACATTATATTGAAAGTTCCAGTCCGGGCACGGTGGCTCATGCCTATAATCCCAGCACTTTGGGAGGCCAAGGTGGGTGGATCACCTGAGGTCAGTGGTTCGAGACCTGCCTGACTAACATGGTGAAACCCAGTCTCTACTAAAAATACAAAAATTAGCCAGATGTGATGGTGCATGCCTATAATCCCAGCTACTCGGGAGGCTGAGGCAGGAGAGTCACTTGAACTTGGGAGGTGGACGTTGCAGTGAGCCAAGATCATGCCACTGCACCTCAGAGCCTGGGCAACAAGAGAAAAACTCGGTCTCAAAAAAAAAGAGGAAGTTCCAGCCAGGACAATTAGGCACACAAAAAAAAATAAAATAAATGGCATCTATATTAGAAATGAAAAAGTAAAACTATATTTCCAGACGATGTGATCTTTTTATTTGTTTATTTACTTTTGAGACGGAGTTTTGCTCTTGTTGCCCAGGCCGGAGTGTGGTGGCGCGATCTTGCCTCACTGCAACCTCTGCCTCCTGGATTCAAGTGATTCTCCTGCCTCAGCTTCCTGAGTAGCTGGGATACAGGCACCCACCATTATGCCCAGCCAATTGTATTTTTTTTAGTAGAGACAGGGTTTCATCATGTTGGCCAGGCTGGTCTCGAACTCCTGACTTCAGGTGACCCATCCACCTCGGCCTCCCAAAGTGCTGAGATTACAGGCGTGAGCCACTGTGCCCGGCAGATGTGATCTTGTATATAGAAAGCCTAAGAAAGTTTCCCCCACCCACACACACACTAGAGACAGAGAGAGAAAGAGAAAACACATGCTAATAAACAAGTTCAGCAAGGTCAAAGGCACAAGATCCATACACAAAGATCAATTATATTTCATACACTAGTAATGAACTATCCAAAAATGAAATTAAGAAATTCCATTTGTAATAACATCTGAAAGAATAAAACACATAGGAAATAATTCAAAAAAAGAGGTCTGAGACTCATATACTGAAAACTCTGAAACATTGTTGAAAAAAATTAAAGAACACCTGACCAGGCCCAGTGGCTCATGCTTTTAAGCTCAGCACTTTGGGAGGCTGAGGCGGGTGGATTGCTTTGAGATCAGGAGCTCAAGACCATCCTGGGCAACATGGTAAAACCTCATCCCTACAAAAAATACAAAAATTAGCCAGGTGGGGTGGTGCATGACTGTAGTCCCAGCTACTAAGGAGGCTGAGGTAGGAGGATGGCTTGAGCCCAGGAGGCAGAGGTTGCAGTGAGCTGAGATCATGCACTTCAGCCTGGGTAACAGAGGGAGACCTCATCTCACCACCACCAACAAAAAAAAAAATTAAAGAAGACCTAAATCAAGACATCTCATATTCATGGATTGGAAGACTAAACATGGTTATGACAACAATAATCCCCAAACTAATCTACAGATTCAATGCAACCTCTATCAAAATCCCAGCTGCCTTTCTGGCAGAAATGGAGAAGCTGATCCTAAAATTCATATAGCAATGCAAAGAACCCAGATTAGACAAAACAATCTTGAAAGAGGAGAACAAAGTTGGAGAATTTATACTTTCCAATCTTAAAACCTACTAAGCTACAATAATCAAGACTGTGATGTGACTTCAGTTTACCAGTAAGAAGAAAGGAAAAAAAAGGCTCTGGTACTGGCCTATAGGTAGAGGTACAGTCCAGTGTAACAGAAATGAGAGTCCGGATATAAATCAAAATATCTACGATTAATTGATTTTTGACAAGAACAGAGACCCGGTGCAGTGGCTCACGCCTGTAATCCCAGCACAGGATCACTTGAGGCCAGGAGTTCAAGACAAGCCCAGTCAACATGCCAAAACCCTGTCTCTACCAAAAATACCTAAATTAACCAGGCGTGGTGGCACCCGCCTGTAGTCCCAGCTCCTTGGGAGGCTGAGGCAGGAGAATTGCTTGAACCCGGGAGGCGGAGGTTGTAGTGAGCCAAGATGGTGCTATTGCACTCCAACCTGGGCAACAGAGCAAGACTCCATCTCTCTCTCTCTCACACACACACACACACACACACACACACACACAAATTATTTCTTTTAAAAAATAATTTTTAAATTTTTATGTTTTAAAAAAATTACCTATTCTGGGTGAATATGCCATACAAATGGCCAAAAAAGCATATGAAAAGATGGTCACCATCACTAATCAGAGAAATAAACCACAGTGAGCTATCACCTCATACCCATTAGGTTGGCTACCATCAAAAACAATAAGTGGACCAGGCATAGTGACTCACACCTGTAATCCCAGCCCTCCCCGCTTTCCCCACCCGTGAGACAGAGTCTTGCTATGTCACCCAGGCTGGAGTGCAATGGTGCAATCTCAGCTCTCTGCAACCTCTGCCTCCCAGGTTCAAGTAATTCTCCTGCCTCACCCTCCCAAGTAGCTGGGATTACAGGCACGCTCTACCATGCCTGGCTAATTTTTGTATTTTTAGTAGAGACGGGGCTTCAACATATTGTCCAGGCTGGTCTCAAACTCCTGACTTCGGGATCTGCCCGACTCAGCCTCCCAAAGTGCTGGGATTACAGGTATGAGCCACCACACCCGGCCAATCCCAGCACTTTGAGCAGCCCAGGCAAGAGGATCACTTGAAGCTACGTGTTTGGGGCCAGCCTGGGCAACATAATGAAATACTGTCTCTACAAAAGAATTTAAAATTAGCCTCATTTGGCTCGTCATGGTGGTTCACGCCTGTAATCCCAGCACATTGGGAGGCTGAGGCAGGTGGATCATCTGAGGCCAAGAGTTGGAGACCAACCTGGGCAACATGGCAAAACCCTGTTGCTACCAAAAATACAAAAATTAGCTGGGTGTGGTGGTGCATGCCTGTAGTCCAGCTACTCAGGAGGCTGAAGCAGGTGGATCCCTTGAGCCCAGGAGCTCCAGGCTGCAATAAACTATGATCATGTCACTGTGCTCCAGCCTGGGCATCAGGATAAGCCTCTGTCTCAAAAAAAAAAAAAAGAAAAAGAAAAAAACACAAACAAGCATTTTTGAGGATGTAGAGAAACCAGAAGCTTTGTGTGCCGTTAGTGGGATTGTAAAATGATGCAGCTATTATGGTTATGGGAAACAGTACGGAGGGTCCTCAAAAAATGAAACATAGAACTACCATATGATCTAGCAATCCCACTTCTGGATATATAATCAAAGAATTAAAAGCAGGGTCTCAAAGAGATTGTTTGCACATCCACGTTCACAGCACCATTGTTCACAATCACAAGAGATAGAAGCAACCCAAAGGCCATGAATGGATGAATGGATACACAAAATGTGATTTATACATACAATGGAGTAGTATTCAGCCTTAAAAAGGAAGAAAATCTTGTCACGTGCTGTAACATACGTAAGCCTTGACGACATTATGTTAAGGGAAATAAGCCAGTCACAAACAATAAATACTGCATGATTCCACTATATAAGGTATCTAAAGTAGTCAAATTCATAGAAACAGAAAGTGGAATGATAGTTACCAGTGGCTGGGAGAAGGGGAACTGGGGAATCGCTGTTTAATGGGTACAGGGATTCCGTTTCACAAGATGAAAAGGTCCCGGAGATGTTTCACAGCAATGTCAATATACATAATTCTACTGAATAGTACATTTACAAATGGTTAAGACAGTTAATCTTATATGCTTTTTGTCACAATAAGAAAAAAAAACTTAAGGGACCGGCTGTGGATGGCCGAGGCGGCAGCTGCGCGGCGGCACCGGGGCGGCTGCGGCGCGCTCGGAGCCCCGAGGGCACGCGGCCCGGGCAGCTCGGTGTGTGCCCCCACGGGAGCCGGGGCCCCAGGCCCGCCGGACACCATGAACCACCTGAATGTGCTGGCCAAAGCCCTCTATGACAATGTGGCCGAGTCCCCGGATGAGCTCTCCTTCCGCAAGGGCGACATCATGACGGTGCTGGAGCAGGACACGCAGGGCCTGGATGGCTGGTGGCTCTGCTCGCTGCACGGGCGCCAGGGCATCATGCCTGGGAACCACCTCAAGATCTTGGTGGGTATGTATGATAAGAAGCCAGCAGGGCCTGGCCCCGGCCCTCCCGCCACCCCGGCCCAGCCTCAGCCTGGCCTCCATGCCCCAGTGCCTCCGGCCTCCCAGTACACGCCCATGCTCCCCAACACCTACCAGCCCCAGCCCGACAGCGTCTACCTGGTGCCCACTCCCAGCAAGGCTCAGCAAGGCCTCTACCAAGTCCCGGGTCCCAGCCCTCAGTTCCAGTCGCCCCCAGCCAAGCAGACATCCACCTTCTCGAAGCAGACGCCCCATCACCCGTTTCCCAGCCCGGCCACAGACCTGTACCAGGTGTCCCCAGGGCCTGGAGGCCCTGCCCAGGATATTTACCAGGTGCCACCTTCTGCCGGGATGGGGCATGACATCTACCAGGTCCCCTCGTCCATGGACACACGCAGCTGGGAGGGCACGAAGCCCCCAGCAAAGGTAAGGCTGTCCTGGCACAGTCGTGCAGCCCCACAGGTATAGCCCAGGCCCTGCTTTGTGGGCACAGAAGGGCCCAGCCACCCTCAGTCACCGGCACTCCAGGAGTGGCTGTGTGTTTGGTCTGGGGTCAAAGTGGCAAGTGAGTGTTTGGGGAGTGTTCATTTGTCCAGGGAAGATGGATGTGAATGGACCTAGAGGGGAGATGCTCCGCTGGCCTCAGCCAAGCCGACCCGAGTGGTGGTGTCACCACAGGGAGCAGTCTGTTGAGGCTTTCCAGCGGGCAGGCGGGGCTTGGCACATGGAGTCAGCAGTTGCTGGGCCCCCGCGAGGGAGAGGCCAGCCACTTCATGCTCAGGCTCCCCTGTGCCATTTGGGTTTAGGTGTCAGCCTGTAGATGGGGTTCCGGCACATATTCTGGCCACCCCTGCCTCCACAGGCCAACCCCTCTCCACTTATGGGACATGCTAGGGGCCAGCAGGTACGTATGGTGATCTGGATGTGACTCCTGGGAGGACGCTGCCCCTGAGATTGCTAGAGGAGTGCTGCCCTGAGAGCCTCCTGGGCTCTTGCTGATGGGATGCCGGGCCTGGGGACAAGGCCTCTGGCCTCCAGACCCTGAGCCCGCTCCCCAAGTCCACAGGGTCCCTGCCTCCCAAGCTCACCTGCCTGTAGGAAGGACTCAGCACTGGACACTCAGCCCAGGGCTGAGGTGGAGACCTCATTGGTGCCAGCTGAGCAGTGAGTCAGCAGGGAGTTACCCCCACCCCCACCCATGGGTGGCCTGGTACCCAGGAGACATGGCTGGAGGTCATTGGCAGGTGGGGGACTCCATGGACATGGGCCACCAAGCCTGGCCACCAGGGGAACCTGGGTCACTGGCTCACACTTCCTGCTCTACCTGCTCCTTCAGCCATCTGGTCAGAGGCGAGCCTGGTTGGCTTGGGGCTGCCTGGGTGGGGCTGCTCCCAAACTGGCTTTAGCAAGAGGAGCAGGGTCCTGTTAGCCCCTGGGGAGGCGGCAGGGAGCAGTGTCCTGTGGGGGAGCCTCAGGCCACGGTCCACGTATACCCACACCCCACACAGATGAACACACGTGCATGATACCTGTACCCCACAGATACGAACACCCATGCACTCACCATATGCTGTAACACACACATGCGCTACATGAATGTGCATGAATACATGCACATATCTGCATCCCATACCCCATAAATGGACACATGTATATGCCCACACATGCGCACATCATATGTATGAACACGTGCACACCCAAACCCCATATGTGTAAACACACGTGCATACACACCCCACACACAGACACATGTACGTCCACACATACAAAGCTTGTGCACCCACCAGTATCCCACAAACGTACAAATGTATGTGCATATGCACACGCACACACAGTCCACACTGCACACGCCCCAAGGTAAGGCACATCCCCTCCCCTCCTCTCCCGCCTTTGCAGTGAAGCTTGTCCTGGTGCGGCTGGAAGCCCTGTGGGCTGGGGAGCAGCAGCGAGACCCCCAGACAGAGCCTGGCCTCAAGGCTGTGTTTTGGCAGCTGTTCTGTCTCCCTCTCCGGCAAGGGGCCTGCCCTCAATTGCATCAGGGGCTCAACCAGCTGGGTCCTTCTCTGCCCATGCCCACTGGTAGAGCTGCCCAGACCTGTGCCTCAAGGGCCCTGACCTGGCTGATGTCCCAGGAAGGAGAGCCCTGCATCCTGGGCCTGGCTGCTCTCCCCCAGGAAACCTCCCCCAGTCTTGATTGTGTCTGCTTGTATTTTATGATCACAAAAGCAATGCTTGTTTGCTGTAGAAAATGCATAATGTATGGAAAAGTCTGGAGATGAAATTTTCCAATCGAGGTAATCACTGGGAAATTCTGGCATATTTTGTCTAGCATCTGCCCTGTGTTTCACAGATTTGTACATGTAGTTTTGCATTTCAAAGTTGTAAATCCAACATTAGATATCAAAAGAAAGGAAAAAAACCTTTAAAATCACTAAGTTCTCTCTCTCTCTTTTTTTTTTGAGACCGAGTTTCGCTCTGTCACCCAGGCTGGAGTGCAGTGGCATGATCTCGGCTCACTGAAAGCTCCGCCTCCTGGGTTCATGCCACATTCTCCTGCCTCAGCCTCCCGAGTAGCTGGGACTACAGGTGCCCGCCACCACACCCGGCTAATTTTTTTTTGTAGTTTTAGTAGAGACAGGTTTTCACCATGTTAGCCAGGACAGTCTCGATCTCCTGACCTCGTGATCTGCCCACCTCAGCCTCCCAAAGTGCTGGGATTACAGGCGTGAGCCACCGCGCCCAGCCCTTTTTTTTTTTTTTTTTTTTTTTTTTTTTTGACACGGAGTCTTGCTCTGTCATCAGGCTGGAGTGCAGTGGTGTGACCTCGGCTCACTGAAACCTCTGACTCCCTGGTTCAAGTGATTCTCCTGCATCAGCCTGGCAAGTAGCTGGGATTACAGGCATGTGCCACCACGCACAGTTAATTTTTGTATTTTTAGTAGAGATGGGGTTTTACTATGTTGACCAGGATTGTCTCAGTCTCCTCAGCTGAGGTCAGGAGTTCGAGACCAGCCTGGCCAATATGGTGAAACCCTGTCTCTACCAAAAATACAAAAATTAGCTGGGTGTGGTGGCACATGCCTGTAATCCCAGCTACTGAGGAGACTGAGGCAGGAGAATTGATTGAACCCAAGTGGCAGAGGTTGCAGTGAGCCGAGATTGCACCACTGCACTCCAACCTGAGCAACAGAGCAAGATTCTGTCTTAAAAAAATAGGTCAGGTGCAGTGGCTCATGCCTGTAATCCCAGCACTTTGGGAGGCTGAGGTGGGCAGATCACGATGTCAGGAGTTCAAGACCAGCCTGGCCAACTTGGTGAAACCCTGTCTCTACTAAAATACAAAAACTAGCCAGGTGTGGTGGCGGGTGCCTGTAGTCTCAGCTACTCAGGAGGCTGAGGCAGGAGAATTGCTTGAACCTGGGAGACGGAGGTTGCAGTGAGCTGAGATCATGCCATTGCCTCCAGCCTGGGCAATAGAGTGAGACTCCATCTCCAAATAAATAAATAAATAAATGAATAAATGAATGAATGAATAAGTAAATGGAAAAAGAGTGGCCAGTAGGGGAAGGCAAAAGGAAAAACAAGCGGGAAGAGAGAGCATATTGAAAAGCCAAGCATTTGTGTTCCTTTTAGTCTTTGATCAGCATTCATGGAACCCACATTTTACATGCGGAAAGAAAAGGGTGGAGGAATAGTCAATTATGTATTCATCTTGCACTCAGTGAATCTGCATTTTTACAGAAGAAAAATACACATAGACTACAGGAAACAGTCAGATATGCTTTTGTCTCCAGTGTGCAGATGGATGACTTTTAAATCTGTCCTTTGTCCCTTACCTGTGAAGACAAGTTTTTCATTTATGTTGTCAGGGTGAGATTCAACATAACTGTTTTGGCTGGGTATGGTGGCTCATGCCTGTAATCCCAGTTCTTTAGGAGGCTGAGGTAGGTGAATTGCATGAGGCTAGGAGTTGGAGACCAGCCTGGCCAATATGGTGAAACCCTGTCTCTACTACAAATACAAAAATTACCCGAGTATGGTGGTGCATGCCTGTAATACTAGCTACTGAGGAGGCTGAGGCAGGAGAATTGCTTGAACCAGGAGGCAGAGGTTGCAGTGAGCCAAGATCACACCATTGCACTCTAGCCTGGGCAATAGAGCAAGACTCTGTCTCAAAAACTAAACAAAACAAAACCCAGAACTGTTTTAGATGAAATTCAAAAAATTCAACAGAGCTGTTTGTTTTCCTTTCACACATTCAATGTCAGTAACTCATCTTTCTGGGTTTGAGATACTGAATGAGCAATGTATGGTCTCATCCAAACCCTGGTAGATTTCTCGCCTAAGAAATTTTGAGTATCAAGACCATACCCTCTTCCCTGAATAATGACTGCTAAAGGCAAAGAAATCTCAGGACCACCAACTCACTAAGCCAAAAGCAAAAGTCAAGCTGGAAACTGGATCATGCAAACCTGCCTCCCCCATTTTGTTCCTAAATAGATACCTACAAAGATTTTTTTAAAAAGCTACATACTTCCCTCACAATTTGCCCATGAAGAAATTCCTCGTGGGCCTCAAGATTTTGACCTTAGAACAGTTCTGTTGAATTTCCCTGACAATGTAAATTGATAGCTTATCCTTGCAGGACAAAGGACAGAACTCAAGGTCATCCCTCTGCTCACCTGGGACAAATGCATATCTGACTGCTTCCTCTGCCCCATGTTTACTTTATCTTTTTTTTTAATTAAAAAAAAATAGAGACAGAATCTCACTATGTTGCCTAAGCTGGTCTCAAACTCCTGACCTCAAGTGATCTGCCTGCCTTGGCCTCCCAAAGTGCAGGGATTACAGGCATGAGCCACTATGCCCGGCCGCTGTCCTGAGTTTCATGACTTCATGACATAGGCATGATTTGGTTTTTAGTTTGTTTTTTGTTTCGTTTCATTTTGTTTTGTTTTTGAGACGGGGTCTAGCTCTGTCACCCAAGCTGGCATGCAGTGCTGCAATCATAGCTGGCTGCAGCCTTGATCTCCTGGACTCAATTGATCATCCCACCTCTGCCTCCTGAGTAGCTGGACCACAGGCATGCACTACCATGCCTGGCTATTTTTTTTTTATTTGTAGAGATGAATTCTCAGTATGTTGCCCAGGCTGGTCTCAAACTCCTGGCCTCAAGTGATCTTCCCGCCTTGGCCTCCCAAAATGCTGGGATTTCAGACATGAGCCACCCACGATGGCCACATAAGCACGACTGATTAAATCATTGACCACTGGTGATCAACTCAACCTTCAGCTCCTCCCCATCCCTGGAAATCAGGGGATAGGGGGCTGAAAAGTTTAACCCCGTAATCACGAGGTTGGTTCCCCTGGCCACCAGTCCTTTGGGAGTCCCCAGAAATCAGTCGTCTCATTAGCATCCATAAAGACACATCACTTGGGAGATTCCAAGGGTTTCAGGAGCTGTGCACCAGGAGACAGGGACAGAGACCATATATGTGTGTTTGTGTGTATGTGTGTGTGTGCGAGTGTGTGTATTCTTTTTCTGTGTTATTTTCTTTTACACTGTAGCTCTCAGATCTTACAAATATACATTTCTTATTATTTCATGTTTATATTATAAAAGAAAAATAAAATCTTGGGATCTCAGACTCACTACGCTACAGGGAAAAGGCTAGCTGGGAACTGTGTCACACAAACCTGTCTCTCATTTTTTTTTTTTTCCTAAATACATAACTATAAAGATAAAAGGCTACATACCTCCCACAGAATTTGCTCAAAGGAAATTCCTTGTGGGTCTCAAGATATTGACCCTAAAAGAGTTGTGTTGAGGCTGGTGCAGTGGCTAGCACCTACAATCCCAGCACTTTGGGAGGCTGAGACAGGTGGATCACCTGAGGTCAGGAGTTCGAGACCAGCCTGACCACCATGGTGAACGGTGAAACCCCATCTCTACTAAAAATACAAAAAAATTAGCCAGGCGTGGTGGCAGGTGCCTGTAATTCCAGGTACTCAGGAGGCTGAGGCAGGAGAATGGCTTGAACCTGGGAAGCAGGTGCTTACACCCACCTGCTAACACAGGGAGAGTCATCATCATAGTCAAGTCTTTCAGTGGTCAGTGTGAGCATTCCGTGAGCATAGCTCATTTCTCAGAGCTGAGAGGGTGGTCCTGACTGGCTTGCTCCCTCCCAGTGCGCCTCTGTCTCCTCTCCACGCTGCCTGCCTCCCCGGGGCCTGGGCAGCCCCTCCTTCCTGCTGATTTACCTCAGCCCAGCTCCTGCTCGGGGGGAGCCCTGCAGAGCCCTCACTGGGCACCTCTCTCAGAGGCACTGGGCCCCACAGGTAACTGAGCAGGTGCAGCCATCGCTCAGTACAGCTCCTGGGGACAGGTCAGGTGGGTTAGGCTGGGGCTCTGGTGAGGTCAGGCCACACCAACCAGGGGAGACAAGAGCTGAGACACCTCACTTCCCATGTCTCTCTTTTCACGTCTTTTAGGGCCGTCTTCCCCCAGCTGTGTAGCTCAGGAAGAACTCTCAGGATTCATGTGGAGAAAGAGGCTGTGACCACCCCAGAGGCCTCTTCTCCAGTGAGAAGCAGGGGGACACCCCGGAGTAGCAGGCATTCTAAAGCTGCCCATGAGCCCTGCGACTGGCTCTGTTCCCAGCAGGGAGGTGGAGAGGATGCCACTCAGAAATCACCTCGGAGCCCCGAGAAGAGGGAGGTCTAGAAGTTGATTTCTTGGGAAAGGGCTGTGAGCTCAAAGATGGGCTTAGGAATATGGAACACAGAAAAAAATTTGATGTGCAAAAATGAAAAAAATATGACTTTTATTAAATCATAAAACTATGATGAAACAGGTGACATCAGTGGAGCAGCCTGCACCTTTTCCATCCAGGCATCGTTGAGTCTAGACACGTGTCCCAATTATAGACCATTCAGGCATCTTTGAGTCTAGACACGGTTCCCAATTATAGGCCATCCAGGCATCTTTGAGTCTAGACACATGTCCCAAATTATAGACCATCCAGGCATCTTTGAGTCTAGACACGTGTCCCAATTATAGACCATCCAGCCATCTTTGAGTCTAGACACATGTCCCAATTATAGACCATCCAGGCATCTTTGAGTCTAGACACGTGTCCCAATTATAGACCATTCCCACACAGGTGCAAATAATCCATAATGTCTGTGTGCCAACTGGGGCATATCAGACAATGCTTGGCCAGTGTAAGGACAAGACATCAGATCCTTCTAGCAGATGAAGGTCTAAGGAACTCCATCTTTGTGGAAAGCAGAGAGTGGGGTTTCAGTGCAGGGCACGTGTCTCTGACAAGTGATGCAGTCATGAGAATGCTCAGGCAAAATAACAATAGTAACAGCAAGAAATGAATCCTGTGGATATGAAAGCTGTTTGGAAACTGGGATGCTAACAGCCTGCAGGAGCTCCCCTGTGCAGCTGTGTGAGCAGGAGGGAAGGGAGCAGGTCTTGTCCAGCCCCTCAGGCAGCTCTGGGAAAGGCTGGGGACACACACGTGGTGGCTGGCTCAGGCTATGGACTGGAAACTCCAGTTCTCCTCCTTGATTTTGGGAAAAGGGAAAGAATTTGGGGATAGAGGGACCACGGGACATGGAATCGTTTGCTGTAATTTCCTATGTGCTGGAGGCAGATGTTTGCATTCTCATTTCTTGGACATCAACTGGGTCTTTCACAGCTGTGCTGGGCACAGCCAGTGGAGTCCAGGGTTCCTCACAGGATTTCTCCCTGGTGTGACTCTTCCCAGCACAGTGCAGCCACGAATGCATCCCTCATGATGGTTACCATATTTTAGAAATTTCCTGCACAGCACACAGTGCCAGTAGGATGACAGTTCTCTTCACAGTTTCAGTGAAATCCGAGAGATGAGGAAAAAGAACTGTGATGTCACATATGCTCATACAGAATCTTAAACATCTCCATTGTGCTTGCATCTCAGGTGCCTCAGGCCACTCCGTAGCCCAGATATAAAGCAGAGGTTCCATGGCTCAGATGCTGTTCATTAAGGAAAGGAAACCCTGGGTGATGATTCCCTCCCCATATGCCCTCCTTGGTTGCATATGCCCTGAGGCTGGGCCCTGGGGGCCCCTGCCATCCAGGTCCCAGGCACCCCTGCAGTGAGGTTTGTGTCTGGGCCCACACTGGGATCTCCTCTCTGTGTCTCTTACACAGTCATACAGGGCTGTGTCCTCAGTAGTCACAAAACTCAGCTGCAAGGAGAACCGGATGTATCCTGAATGCATCTCTGGAGATGGATACTCAACTTTGATGGTAGGGATAAACTATATGCTCCCTCCATAACAGAGGTGAGCAATCCATTGCATTCCAACCTTTCCCTGCAGGTCGGGGGATCCACCCCCGCTGAGTAACCCCTGGTAACAGAGCAGCGGGAAGCAGCATGGGACACGGAGATTGCCTGCGAGGGCTTTGCCCCTCCTACGGCTGCACCTGGGACAGGACACCTGGGAACAGAGAGGATTGCAGGGAGCTGTGTGCTCAGATGCAGCACCCCCATATCGTCACGTCTGACTCTTTGAGGCTTTCCCATCTGGAAGCTGCCACAGATCCAACGTGCAACATGAGGAAGTTAATAAGGGTGCATTGCATCCAGGACTTTGCTAACTGAGGTTATAGCTGTTCTTGCCAAATGGGGGAGGTGGGTAAATCTGTAAGTTGAGGGCTGCATTAATTTATTTCACTATAGTCATCATTTTACTGTATATATTTATTCCATATCATGTTGTATGTCTTAGATATACATAATACAATTTATTTTTTGAAAAAGAAAATGTAATTGTCAATCTCTACAATGAAATAACAGAATGTCACAAAAATAATATGTCATCTTAAAAAGTATTCTTGTTTTCAGCCATTGCTTACAAATCCCAAAATAATAAAAATAACCATTCCCCATATATTTGGATTCATCTCAGGCAAAACATTAGAAAACAGCCAGATTCATCCATGTAATCTTATCCTTCCTACCACGGATGTGTGTCTCTCTGAAGATGTGACACAGCTCTAGTCATGAGGACAGGAGAGTTGGTCGATTGAGGCATTTCTGATCCTTCCGAAGAGCATTTCAGAGGGAATGCCCTCTCTTCATCCAGCCCATCACTATGTCGGAATGTGACTTTTAAAACTGCTGTCATCATGCCCATAAATAAAGCCTCATAAATAAAGGCAATAAAAGTTGCCTTTCCTTCAATTTGTACTGAAATAGCCACATATAATAATGGAAATAATCTTGAAGTAAAAATTAAATTAAACCAAACAGATTGAAACATTAACCTGAACTTCATGTGAGTTCAAATTTAGTGTGTAGTGAGTAGTGAGACAGGCAGGAGGCGTGGCAGAATATCAAGCTGTGCTCACCCCGTCTCATCTTAGTGAGGAAACTGCCTGCATATTGCTTAGGTGTATTACAGACTCCCATTGGTAATGTGAGCCTCACAATATGTGCTGATGGATCACATCTCAAAACTGAAACTGCATGTTATGGAGAAGGAGGTACCATCACCATCAGCTGAAGTAAACCCACGCTGAATAGTAGAATTTAAGCCAGTGACTAGAATGTGTAAGCTAGCCAAATCTCAAAAATAGACAAAGAGACTGATATCTAGAAGGTAAGTGTTGAAATAGTGCATGATTTGGGGATGTTTTCAGGGAAAAAGAAGACTTGATGAAACATACCCCAATACTGGACAAGAAGGAAGGAGATCGACTGTCATTTACAACAACATGGATAGATCCAGAGGACGTAGTGCTAAGTGAAATGAGCCAGACACAAGATAAAAATACAGCAAGTTCTCACTTACATGTAAAATCTTTAAAAATATCAAATCCATAGAAACAGAGAGTGAAATGATGGCTACCAGGGGTGTGGAGAGGTAGGAAATGGGGAGAAATAGGTGAAAGTTAACACATTTGCAGTCACGCAGAAGCTACAGAAGTTAGAGTTTGCAGTTATGCAGACGCTACACAAGAAAGAGCTTGCAGTTATAAAATCAAGAGCTCTTGTGTGCAGCAGGTAGGCTGTAGTTATATTTTATTGTATACTGAACATTTGCTAAAAGAGTAGAATTTAGTTTCTCCTGCTACAAAACGGTAACCATAAAAGGAAATTGATTGGTTAATTTGCTGCTAGGTTGTGGTAACCTTTTTACTATGCATGTGTATATCTAAACACCATGTTGTACACTCTTAATGTACACAGCAGAAAACATTGAAAACAAGTAGAACATAATCATCACCAAAAAAGATGGACAATGTTAAGGAACCTTTAAATACACACCTCCTTTCCCTGTGCTGGCTGATGTGAAGATTGGCACCCACACAAATTAGGTAGTAAGGAAGTGAAAGAGCATACTCCAGCAGATTATTATTCAAAACTAGTCGCTGTAACCTAGGTTATAATCCTATTTAAACATTCAAGTGATCAAGCTCTGGAGGCATTCAGAAAGCCATTACAGAATATGAATGTTTAACTCCTGATTTTAAATTTAAAATAATAGAAAAATCTGGTTGTGTAACTAACTCTGATAATTTCTTTGTTTTTCTTTTTTCTTTTATTTTTATTATACTTTAAGTTCTAGGGTATACGTGCACAATGTGCAGGTTTGTTACATATGTATACATGTGCCACATTGGTGTGCTGCACCCATTAACTCGTCATTTACATTAGGTATATCTCCTAGTGCTATCCCCCCCCCTCCCCCCACACCACTACAGGCCCCAGTGTGTGACGTTCCCCTTCCTGTGTCCAAGTGTTCTCTTTGTTCAATTCCCACCTCTGAGCGAGAACACGTGGTGTTTGATTTTTTGTCCTTGCGATAGTTTGCTGAGAATGTTGGTTTCCAGTCTCATCCATGTCCCTACAAAGGACATGAACTCATCCTTTTTTATGGCTGCATAGTATTCCATGGTGTATATGTGCCACATTTTCTTAATCCAGTCTATCATTGCTGGACATTTAGGTTGGTTCCAAGTCTTTGCTATTGTGAACAGTGCCACAATAAACATACGTGTGCATGTGTCTTTATAGCAGCGTGATTTATAGTCCTTTGGGTATATACCCAGTAATGGGATGGCTGGGCCAAATGGTATTTCTAGTCCTAGATCCCTAAGGAATCGCCACACTGACTTCCACAATGGTTGAACTAGTTTACAGTCCCACCAGCAGTGTAAAAGTGTTCCTATTTCTCCACATCCTCTCCAACACCTGTTGTTTCCTGACTTTTTAATGATCGCCATTCTAACTGGTGTGAGATGGTATCTCATTGTGGTTTTGATCTGCATTTCTCTGATGGCTAGTGATGAGGAGCATTTTTTCATGTGTCTTTTGGCTGCATAAATGTCTTCTTTTGAGAAGTGTCTATTCATATCCTTCGCCCACTTTTTGATGGCGTTGTTTTTTTCTTGTAAATTTGTTTGCTAACTCTGGTAATTTATGAAGCTCTCAAGATACATGCTTGGTGGGACCAGATGAGCTCAAGTAGATGTTATCTTGATTTCTCCATGAAACCATGATTTCTCCACGAATCTTGAGGTGTATGGTAATTGGTTATTGTCTCCAATCAACATCTGATGGTAAAATCTAAAGTCACAGCTGTGGTTGTCGTTGCATCAGTTGTGACCAGTCAACAACATCGTGCTGGTAAAAGAGTGATGGTAACCCTGGGGAGAAACCAAAGCTCAAAAATACTTTGAACACAGTTAAAATGATTTAACCCAAGAATTATCCACTTGGAGTTTGGGTATGTGTTATTTATGGTGTGACTACATTCAGAATGGCTTGAAGCATCTCCTTGCCAAAAGGCTACAGGTGTTTGTTTGTTTGTTTGTTTGTTTGTTTGTTTGTTTGTTTTTGAGATGGAGTTGCCCAGGCTGGAGTGCAATGGCAAGATCTCCGCTCACTGCAACCTCAGCCTCCCTGGTTCAAGCTGTTCTCCTGCCTTAGCCCTCCAAGTAGCTGTGATTACAGGCATGCGCCACCACACTCTGCCAATGTTGTATTTTTAGTAGAGACAGGGTTTCTCCATGTTGGTCAGGCTGGTCTCGAACTCCCGACTTCAGGTGATCCGCCCACGCTGGCCTCCCAAAGTGCTGGGATTACAGGTTTGAGCCACCGTGCCAGGCCAGGCTACAGCTCTTAGAGTTACTACAAAGATGTTTGATTTTGTGTTTCAAACAGGAACATCTCAGAGATGTATCCCACTTTATCATGCATTTCTGGTGGTGGGATAGGTTCCTTTTATTGTGCTGTTGAATTTGATTTGCTGGGTTTTGTTGAATTTTGTACCTATACAAATTAGGGATATGAACTGTAGTTCTCTTTTCTTAAATGGCCTTTGCCTGTCTTTGGTATCAGACTGAGAGTGCTCACATAAAAATATTTTGAAAGTGTTCCTTTAACTTTCTAGGAGAGTTTAGAGTTATTAGTTTTAGTTCTTCTTTAAACATTTGGTAGAATTCACTGGAGAAACCACTTGAACTTGATTTTCAAATCTTCTTGATTGGGAGATTTTTGATTGCTGTTTCAATCTCCTTGTTCATTTTTGGTCTCTTCAGGTTTTCTATTTCTTTATGATTCAGTCTTGGTAGAATGTATGTTTTGAGGAATTTACCCATTTCTTCTAGGTTATCCAGTGTGTTGGTGTTTATTCAATAATGATTTATAGTCGTCTCCATGTATGAGTCTGTTTTTGCCCTACTATTAATACCTGAGTCAGGGTAATTTATGAAAAAAAAAAAAGAAGTTCTGCAGGCTGTACAGAAAGCATGGCAAGATCTGCATCTGGGGAGGCCTCAGGAAACTCAGTCACGGTGGAAGGTAAAGGAGAACCTCTTCCATGGCTGAAGCAGGAGCAAGAGAGAGAACCGGAGGTGCTGCATGCTTTATTTATTTATTTATTTTTTCTATTATTTAATTAATTATTTATTTTTTCTATTATTTATTTATTTATTTTATTTTTTTCTATTATTTATTTATTTATTTTTTAGACACAGTCTCACTCTGTGGCCCAGGCTGGAGTGCAGTGGCACGATTTCAGCTCACTGCAAACTCTGCCTACCGGCTTCACGCCATTCTCCTGCCTCAGCCTCCTGACTAGCTGGGACTACAGGCACTCCCCACCACGCCTGGCTAATTTTTTGTATTTCTTCGTGGAGACAGGGTTTCACCGTGTTAGCCAGGATGGTCTCCTCCTGACCTCGCGATCCGCCCACCACGGCCTCCCAGAGTGCTGGGATTACAGGCGTGAACCACCGCATCCGGCCACGCTACATGCTTTTAAACAACCAGATCTCAGGAGAACTCACTATTGGACGACAGCACCAAGGGGCATGGTGTTAAACCATGAGAAACCAACCTTCTCCCATGATCCAATCACCTCCCGCTGAGCCCCAACCTCCAACACTGAGGATTACAACTGAACATGACATTTGGTTGGGGACACAGATCCAGATCATATCACATCATGATCATTTTTATTTCTGTAGCATCAGTTGTAATGTCTCCTTGATCAGTTCTGATGCTATTTATTTGAGTATTCTTTTTTTGTAGTCTAGCTAAAGTTTTGTCAATTTTGTCTTTTTTTTCAAAAGCCCTTAGTTTGTTGATTTTTCCTATTATTTTTCTGTTTTGTATTTCATTAATTTCTACTCTAATCTTTATTATTTCATTCTAACTTAGGACTTACTTATTCTTTCTCTAAATCCGGAGGTGTAAGATTAATAAGATTAATTTAGGTTCTTTCTCTTCTTTTTTTTTATTTTTCTATTTAATGCTAGATGACACATTAGTGGGTGCAGCGCACCAGCATGGCACATGTATACATATGTAACTAACCTGCACAATGTGCACATGTACCCTAAAACTTAGAGTATAAAAAAAAAAAAAAACAAAAAAACTTTGGATCTTTACCAGTCTAGTAATGAATAATAGTTATCTTGGTATCCTTGTCTTTGTATTATTATGAGTGAACGTGGACATTGTTTCATTCATTTAAGAGACATATTTATTTCTCTAATGTAAATTAAGTGCTTATATATTTTTGTCAATTGCATAATGTGTTATTAGACTTTTGAAACTGATTTGTAGATACTCTTTATGTTTGAAATGGGAGATAAACTCTTAATGACAAAAAAAAAAGATTAATAAGATTAATTTAGGTTCTTTCTCTTCTTTTTTTTATTTTTCTATTATTTTTTTCAAACTCTTTTTTTTATACTTTAAGTTCTAGGGTACATGTGCACAACGTGCAGGTTTGTTACAAATGTATACATGCACCATGTTGGTGTGCTGCACCCATTAACTCATCATTTACATTAGGTATATCTCCTAAGGCTATCCCTCCCCCCTCCCCCCACCCCATGACAGGCCCTGGTGTGTGATGTTCCCCACCCTATGTCCAAGTGTTCTCATTGTTCAATTCCCACCCATGAGTGAGAACATGCGGTTTTTGGTTTTTTATCCTTGTGATAGTTTGCTGAGAATGATGGTTTCCAGCTTCATCCATGTCCCTACAAAGGACATGAACTCATCCTTTTCTATGGCTGCATAGTATTCCATGGTGTATATGTGCCACATTTTCTTAAGCCAGTCTATCATTGCTGGACATTTGGGTTGGTTCCAAGTCTTTGCTGTTGTGAATAGTGCCGCAATAAACATCGAGTGCAGTGGTGCAATGTCGGCTCACCACAACCTCCACCTCCTGAGTAGTTTGGATTATAGGCATGAGTCACCACACCCAGGTAATTTTTGTATTTTTGTATTTTTAGTAGAGACAGGGCTTCACCATGTTGGCCAGGCTGGTCTTGAGCTCCTGACCTCAAATTATCCACCAACCTCAGCCTCTCAAAGTGCTAGGATTACAGGTGAGAGCCACCATGTCCAGCCCCTTTCTTCTCTTTTAATGTAGGTGGGCATCATTATGAATTTCCCTCTTAGTACTGCTTTTGCAGTATCCCATGTTTCAATGTAGTGCGTTTTCACTGTCATTTATTTCAAAATATTTTCTACCTTATCTTTTAAGTTTGCTTAGCTTATACTTCTTTGTAAATTTTCAACTTTTTCCCTATTAGTGATTTCTAGTTTCAATCCATTGTCAGAAATGATACTTGATGCGATTCAGTCTTCTTAATTTTGTTGAGTCTTCTTTGTGACCTAACATGTGAGGTAATCATTCCTCAGCCTTTTGGCTAAGGTCATGTGTAGTACCTAGCACGTGATCTATCCTGAAGAATGTTCCCTGTGCATTTGGGGAGAATGCATGCTCTGCTGGACTTGAATTGAATGTTCTGTATCTATCTGTTAGGTCAATTTGGTCTCTAGTGCTATTCAGGTCTGCTGTTTCCCTACTGATTTTCTGTCTGTATGTTCTATCTATTGATGAACGTGGGGTGTTGAAATCTCCTAATTGTATTGTATTGCTTTCTGTGTCTCCTCTCTGATCTGTAAATGATAGTTTTATATGTCTAGGTACTTCGATGTTGGATGCATGTGTGTGTGTGCATAACTGTATCTTTCTGATAAGTGAAACTTTGTATCACATATAATAATTATATAAGACAAAGATCTTTGTCTTTTGTGAGAGCTTTTTACTTAAAATCTATTTTTTTCTGATATATATGTAGATACTCCCACCTCACTCTCTTTTGGTTAACATTTACATGAAATGTCTTCTTTCATTCCTTCTTTTCAGTTTCAGTGTATGTGTGTCCTTTAGTCTGACAGTCTTGAGTGATCATCCAGGAGCAAGATGGCGGAATAGGACTCTCCAGTGATGGTTCCCTGCCGGAACATTAATCTGAACAACTATCCACGTCCAAAAATCCTTCACAAGAGCTAAGGAAGCCAAGTGAGAGATCCCCATACCTGGTTACAGCCTAAAAGTAAGAAACGACACACTGAAGAGAATAAGAACAACAGTTCAGCATGACCTGTGTCACTCCTGTCCCAACGCCAGGTAGCATAGTGTGAGGAGCGATGCCGTCTAGTTGGGGGAAAAGAGAAGGAAGGAGCAACCACTGCCATTTTGTTGCCCATTTTCTGGCAGTTTTGAGACTCCTGTCTCCCTTCCTTCCTTTCTTCCTTCCTTCCTTCCTTCCTTCCTTCCTTCCTTCCTTCCTTCTTCCCTCCCTCCCTCCCTCTTTCTTTCTTTCTTTCTTTCTCTTTCTTTCTTTCTTTCTTCCTTCCTTCCTTCCTTCCTTCCTTCCTTCTTTCTTTCTTTTTCTTGTTTTTGTGGTTCAGTGATTTTCTTCAGTAGAATTTGTTGCTTCTGATTTTTAGTGAATCAGTTATAGGTTTTTGTGCTGTGGTCATCATGAGTCTTAAAAGAAACACCTTATAGATATGAGAAGTTATTTAAAGGAGACGACAACTCAAATGAAAGAACAGAAACAAGCAAAGGCAAAAAAGACACAGAAAAATTCTACATTTTGACTCCATCCGCTGGGTTTCTCCATGTACCTAATTTTACCAGTGGGTTTTATATTTATAAAAGTTTTGTTTTATTCTTTAGCATTTTTTTCTTTGAGATTTAAGAACTCCCTTTAGCATTTCTTGTAAGATGGGCCCGAGGGTGGTGAATCCTCTCATCTTTTTTCTGTTTAGGAAAGTCTTTATCTCTCCTTTCAATTGGAGGGGTAATTTGCTGAAGAATATATTCTTGGATGGCAGGTTTTTTTTCTTTTGAGCACTTAAAAAATGTCAATCCATTCCCTCCTGGCCTGTGTAATCTGCATTGAGAAGCCTGTTGCCAGAGGAATTGGAATGCCTTCATATGTTATTTGTTTCTTTCCTCTTGCTGGTTTTAGGATCCATTTTTTGTCCTTGTCTTTGAAAGTGTGATTAGTATATGTCTTGTAGTAGTCTTATTTTTGTTGATTCTGTTTGGTGTTGTCATGCCTTCCTGTACCTGGATATTTATATCTTTCTCAAGTTTTGGAAATTTATCTGTTATTATTTCTTTAAGTAAGCTTTCTACACCTTACTCTTGCTCAGCTCCCTGTTAAACAGCAAGAATTCTTTTGAGTTCTTCCTTGTCTGATGGAGAATAGTACTGATTTTTTCCAGCTGGATTACACACTTGTGCCACCCACTCCAGTCTGCTGGACACAGCTCAAGCTATTGTTAGCGAAGGTGAAACCAGAGTCTTTGCAGAAGGCTCAGAGAATGCCCAGGGCAGCCTCATGTGTCCTCGACCTCCCCCAGCTGAAGTTCACAAGGGAGTCCTGGAAGCACAGAGAAAACACACTGAGAGCAGCCCTGTGTGGGGCAGCCACAAGTGAGCCTGCTGCAGGAGGGATGCTCCCTCAACAGTGATGAGCAGGCACAGGCTCCATGGTGGGGATGCTGAGGAGGGACCCAAACATGGGCTGGCTCCTCACCAGGGCCTGCAGGACAGCGGATGAGCTGCTTCTCATGAGAGGGAGCAGAGCTGCATTTCTGTGACATTCTCTCTGCGGACATGTGTGCACTGCTCAGCGGGGCTCCTCCCTTCCCTGCCTCTGGATGTTAGGAAGGGCAGCTGGCAAAGGTACCCTGGGACTGGATGCTCAGGGCGTCTCTGCCCATCAGCCTTTGTTTTCCTTTCATGTGGACACTGTCTTGGAATCTGTCTGGATGAACGCTTACTACCAATGAAATCCAGTAAAGTCACAGAAAGGAAACTTGCACAAAGAAAGTGGCTATTCGACTCTAGTCAGCTCTAGCACACTGTGGAGGGCTGTAGAACACTGTCCTCAACCAGAAGGCAAAGTGCCTGAGTAAAAGGAAAAGAATTGTAGGTCTGTATATAGCCAAGACTGGAGCATGTAATTCCAGGAGTCATGAGCTCAGGCTGTCTCCTTTTCCATAACATCCCAGGGTCAGGTCACTGCAAGATGCCTCTTTGTACACCCCCTGTGGAGTGTGGGAAGAGGGTGACAAGGTTCACTGCGTCTGGGAGAAGAATATGGGGACTCCTGGTGACAATGCTGTGACCTACCCTTGGTGCTGCTACTGTGGTTTCTCCTTCTGTGGGGACAAGTGGTCCTAGGGATAGAGTCCCCATGTGCCCTGGACAGATCACTTGGAATGACCACCACAGATGAAAGAATCACTGCTCAATCTTATTTGAGTGTATGGTGAAAATAACACTCAGACACTACCAGGAGGGCTCAGGATGCAGAAGGGGGGGCTCAAAACCAGGGGGCTCAGACACCACCAAAGGGGCTCAGGACCCACCAGTAGGGCTCAGACACTAATAGAGGGGCTCAGGACATCACAAGCGGGGTTCAGACACCACCAGGGTGGCTCAGACCACGAGGGGGAGCTGAGGGCAGGCAGAGGGGCTCAGACACCAGTAGAGCGGCTCAGACACCACCAGGGAAGCTGAGGGAACCAGAGGAGATCAGACACCAGGGGACGATCAGCGCCAGCAGGGGGTGCTCAGGACCTGGCTCGGGAGCAGATGCAAGGTGAAGCTGACATTTCCTTTTTCTCCTTGGTAATTCCTTGGCCTGCCCTGCAAAAATCTTGCTCAGCAGATATTATTGTTTCTTCCCTGTAACTTCTTAGTTCCTCTCATCTGAAAAGGACTAACTTGGAACAGAAATCCCATTTAACTTTTCATACTTCATTTTCAGTCTCCTTCTAGCAATATTTCACTAAAATGTTAATAAGAAACAATGAAGCCACAGTCCAAATGTTAGCACCATGCAAAGATTTGTATGTTTTCTCCACTTTGTCGATTACGACTTAGGAAACTCTTCCCTCAATCCACTGTCTGGTATACACTATGGCGTTGTGTTTCACTTTCTTTCATTGGTTTTGCAAGGAGATGAAGCACCATTTAATGGGATGTGTCCTCTTTTTCTGGTTGGCTCCCCGTGGTGTCCACCTCAGATGGTTTTGCCACCACGATTAATCCGTTAATGCCTTCAGTCACCCTCACTATCCATGTAATGAAGCAATGAGTCCCTTTACTTCATCTACTTGTGTCTCCATGAGTCAGTTCACTCCTCTCCATTCTCACAAAGGACAGCCACCCTCAGGCCACTGCTTCAGAGCCTCATGTAGCCTTGGGTGGTAAACCTATAAAAAGCTCTGGCTATTTAGAAAGAATGTATATTGGAAACTTAATCCCAAATTCCATAGTGTCCAGAGGTAAGAACTTTCAGGAATGATTAGGTCGTGAGGGCTCTGCCCTCATGAAGCAATTAATGCCATTATTGGCAGAGTGGGTTACTCATAGAGGGAGTAGATTAGTTACTACAGGCCTGGGGTCCTCATTAAAAGATGAATTTAGCCCCATTTCTCTCCTTCGCACATGCTTTCCTGCCTCCCACATAGGTGTCACAGCAAGAAGGCCCCTGCAAGATGCTAGCACCTTGATATTGGACTTCCCAGGCTCTAGAACTGTGAGAACACAAATTTCTTTTACTTATACTTAGTCAGTCTGTCGTATTGCCTCATTGCACCACAAAGTGGACTAAGACAAAAAAATCAGTATCAAGAGGTGGGGCTTTTGTGATTACAAATACTCCAAAATGTAGAAGTGGATGTAGTAATGCACAAAGTCTGGAATAATTTGGAGGATCAGACTATAAAAAGTCTAGATTGCCCTGAATAGAACACTAGAGGTGATTCTTTTGAGGACTCAGAAGAAGAGAGTTGCGAGGAAATTCTGAAACTTCTTAGAGATTATTCAAGTGATGACCATTAGAATGTTGGTAGAACCATGGACAATAAAGGCCGTTCTGATGACGTCTCAGGAGAAAAAGAAGAATAGCTCATCAGAAAATGGAGCAAAGGCCATCCTTGCCATAAAGTGGCAAAGAATGTGGCTGAATTGTGCTCATCCCTAGGTCTTTCTGTAAAGTGGAAGTTCAGAGCCATAAACGAGGATATATGATGGAAGAAATTTGAAGCAAATCTATGGCCTCACTTCTAGCAGGCACTTTAGGACTCTGTTCCCTGTGTCCAGGCACAGCACTCCTTGGCTGCCCATGCTGTGGCTCAGGAGGACCTAGGTGTGGCTCAAGCCATCACTTCAATGGTACAAGTCATCAACTTCCATGGCATCCATGTGTTGTTAATTCTGCAGGTGTGCAGAATAGAAGAACCACGAGGGCATGGCTTTCTCCACGTAGATTTCAAAGAATGCTGTGGACAGCCTAAGGTCTCGGGCAGTGAGTTGTTGCAGAGACAGAGTCACCACACTGAGCCCTCAGCACAATGCCAAGCAGAAATATGGGTTTGGAGGCACCACAAAGGGTATCCAGTCCACCTAGGAGAGCTAGAGGCTTGACAGTCCCACCTGTGAGAGAGGCTGAGTGGACTGAACCCAGAAAATCCATAGAGGCAAGACTGCCGGAGGCCTTGGGGGCCCATCCCCCTCCCCAGTGTGCACAGGATGCAGTCAAGGAGGATTTTTTCCAGCTTTAAGGCTTAATGTTGTTTCCCATGTTGGGTTTTGGACTATGCACCCCTTCTCCTTGCCTCTCTCTGAGCTTTGAAATGGGAATTTCTATCCCATACCTGCCTCATCATTCACTGTATTTGAAAGTAGATAACTTATTTTGATTTTATAGGCTCACAGATGGAAACAATTTATATCAGACTAAATTGTGCCTTCAGTGTCACTCATATCTGATTTAGATGAGACTTTGGACTTCATACTTTTGCATTGATGCTGGATGAGTTAAGACTTTGAAGACAGTTGGGATGGAATGTATGTAGTTTACATTGTAATTGGGACATACATTTTAGTATTAGGAATGGAATGCTATGGTTTAAATGTGTCACCCAAAGTTTATGATTTGGAAAAAATCTTTAATGCAACAGTGTTGAGAGGTGGGACTTTATTATGTGATCAGGTCATGAAGTCTCTGTCCTCATGAATGGATTACTGTCACTATCATGGGAGTGGGCTAGTTATTACAGGAGCGAGTTTCTAATAAAAGATGGCCTCTTTTTTTCTCACAGACAAGTGGTCTCTTGCTCATCCTCCTCTGCTGTTAGATGATGCAGTGAGAAGGCCTTTTTCAGATGCCAGCCCCTTGATATTGGGCTTCTCTGACTCAAGTACCGTTAAGTATAAATTCCTTTTCTTTAAAAATTGCCCAGTCTCCATGTTGTGGGTGCCTGTAGTCCCAGCTACTCGGGAGGCTGAGGCAGGAGAATGGGGTGAACCCGGGAGACGGAGCTGGCAGTGAACGGAGATCATGCCACTGACCTTCAGCCTGGGAAACAGAGCGAGGCTCTGTCTCAAAAAAAAGAAATGCCCAGTCTCTGGTATTCTGTTATAGCAACACAAAAACAGACTCAGACTAAGCCATTGTAAGATGTGTGAGGTGATATCTCATCCCAGTTTTAATTTGCATTTCCCTGATGATTAGTGAGTGATGTTGAGCGTTTAAATGTCTTTATGTTGAGTGAAATAAGCCTGGTATAAAAATTACTCCATGATCTCACTTACACATGCAATCTAAAAATGTTGAACTCAGAGAAGTAGAGAGTAGAATGTTGCCTACCAGGAGCTGGCGTTAGGAGGATGTAAAAGCTGAGGCCCTGGTGAAAGGGTACAGAGTTTTGGTTAGACAGAAGGAATTCGTTTGAAGATCTATTGCACACCATGGTCAGACCTCAGTGATACTAATGTACTATATATACTTGAAAACTGATAAGAGAGTAGATTTTACACATTTACACCATAAAAAAAGCAGTATGTGAGGTGACAGACATGTTTATTTACTTGATTTAATAATTTCACAATGCACGCATATATCAAAACATCACGTTGTATGCCCATAATATATGAAATACAATATATTTTTCTAGTAAGTGTGATGCCTCTGTTTCTTCAACAACAGTTTCTGGAGATTGTTTTTTCCTTGGTGTGGACAATGTTTCCTCTCTGCTGTCTTTATACAGTTTTCCTTTCCCATGGGTTGATTTAAGACAGTGACAATTTATTTATTCTATATCTGGTAATTTCACTGAGAAACCTAATGAATAGCCACTTGAAACCATCTGGTGCCACCGAGAAACCATCTGAAGGACACAGATTTTCTGAGTGTAGGCCACAACCATATTTTAACACTTTTTAAATTCAAAATCAGGGTTTAAATTTTGATATTTTACAATGGCTTCTTTGATTCCCTCCCAAGATCCAACCGTTGAGCGTGTGAAAAGGGCTGGAACCCAGGTTACGGCTGTGCTTGGCATGATGATGTCCTGCAGAAATTCCTTTGGCTTTCTACATGTAGCTCAGCCTCCATATCAGCCAGCTCACTTGGAGGTCAGAGTACTTCTCAAAGATCCTCAGTGTGTTGTTTCATTTTGAGAGGTTTCCAGCCCTTGTGAGACACCCCTTGGTTTTACAATCACCACGAAGTTGTTTATGATTCCAAAAACATACCTGCCATCTGTCCATATGTTTGTTCTGCAGCTTTTGATTTCCTAAAATGCTGTAGTAACTGCAATAAGTTCTACCATCTGGATTAATTTTCACCTCAGTTGGAAGAGTGTATTTTAAGATAAAGATAAAATAGTAATAGTATATCCTCCTTGGTAATATCCAGTTCTATACTTTGGGCTATGGTCTGTCAATAAATAATGTTATGTCAGGGTCCTCAATGGAGTGCCTGAACATCTAAGGAAGGTACAGAAGTTTCCCTAACTAAGATAGAAACCATGGTGAGCACAAGTTTGCTATGCACCCATGTCTCCGGTCTGTCTCACTATGCACCTGACACTCATTTTAACCTCACCAGGAAGTCAGTTAACTTCCAAATCAGTTTATTGTAATGCTTCTAGGTAATTATATGTGGCAATTTCTGGCAGAGATGAATAAAAATATTCACCAGAGAATCTAATACAGAAGAAAGCAAGAGGCCCTGGGCTTGTTTTCATAAAAGCATCATACACCAGGCAGTTGATTCTTTCGGCTGTCGGCACTGGCACACCCAGCATTCCGGCTTCATCCCTTAAGTAAGCTTCATCGTGCATGGATAGGCTGGAACCTTTCCCGAGGCCATATGCCGATGGATATGCAGCATTGTACCACATGTCCACAGAGATACAAAATCCCCTATGGGAAGAACGAGGCTGGATCAACGGGACTGGCAGTTTCTCACTGAGAAAATGTGAGGTCAGCTTCTATGGCGGGCAATTCAGGAAATTACGCAGCAGTTTTGTAATTGATGGTTATGGAAAAATGAACCATTGAGATGACTAATGACTTACATTCCATTATTCCAAGTAAGAAATGGACATCACAGTTCGCCGCAACTAAATTTTCATAACCTAAATGGATTACTTTAAACTTCTTCCTACATCTTCTCTTAATAATTTTTAATAACGAATGTGTCTTACCTATATTCCCAATATTTAAAACTGGGCTGCCAAGAGAGTCTAGAGAATTTGAGAACTAAGAACAGTGAAACTTCTGTATGTTCAGCAGCTGCCAAAGCAACACAATATTCCCCAGGAACACTGTTCTGTGCTTCAGCACAAATCATGCTTGTGTATTTCCTAATGGCTCCAATAGTGACCCTCCATTCCCATCAAACATTTGGCCTCCCCTTTCTCCACGTCCCCTCCATTCACACATTATACTCTCAGCTCTGTCTAGGTATCGTAAAAGCCAGCAAATGGACCCTCCTGATCTCCTGAACATGAAACCCAACACTATCATGTGATCAGCTTTCTTGGCATGGTGACTTTCAAAGGCATCTCATTTAAATAATCACCATTTTTTTCCTTCTGTAACAAACTGTTTCTTTCCATTGTGCCTTCCCATAAGCATTTTAACATAATTTACTGTCCGACCGCAGTTATTAATACACACAAATGCCACAACCTCTTTCTAGCCCAAGAGACCTGATTAATTTTTCTTTGGGGATGAGCACACCCTAGAAACACATCCCATTCACATAAACACGGGCACACCGATGACTTGTTCTTTTGTGTAAGCAAGAGTTTACACCATTCTCTGTCCAACTCCATGAGCCCCCGAAGACCAAGACACACTCTTTCACACCAGTGCAAGCTCCGGCCCAGGGACAGCCTGCTGAGGAATGGGCTCAGCTGGGTCTGGGTGCTGGGTTCATCTCTTCCCCTCTCCTGTCCCATAGCAGGTCCATCACCCTGCTCAGGTCTGAACAGGAGTGTCTAGGTTTGTCTGGCCATCCGACTTTTTCAATTTTTAGAAGATCTCCTATTACCTACTGTATTCATTTTATAGGGCTTTTATAATGAAATACCACAGATTGGATGGCTTACAATACAAAACCAATTTCCTCACACTTATGGAGGATGAAAGCCTAAGATCAAGCTGCCAGCTGGGTGGGTTTCCTCTGAAGTCTCACTCCCTGGTGTGCAGATGGCGCCTTCTCGCTGTTCTGTGGTAACATGGCCGTCCCTCAGGGCGTGTGCACCCTCCCTCCTGCTTCCCCTTCTTATAACAACAGTCAGATTGCATTAGGGCCCCACTCCAGGAATCTCACTTTAACTTATTCACCTCTTTAAAAGACACTGATCCAAGTATGATTTCATTCTGAAGGACCAAGGGTTGGGACTTCAGCACAAAAATTTAGGAGGGACACAGTCTACCCTAACAGCCTCCTTCAGGGATGTCAAATATTTTCCTTCGCTCCCTGTGAAAACCCTAAAGGGGTAGGGAAAGGGCGTCCAACCTGCACGCTCGTAGAGGGGAAACCAGCTTCATTAGTAATCGTACATTTGTGGTAAAAAGGCAGGATTTGAAGCGGTGGAAGATGGGAGTACGGGGCATTGGAACACAAAGTGCCACACAACGCAGCCTTCGAAACACACTATGGTCATGTTAAGTTTAAATGGAGTGACCACATTCGCCAGGAAAGGGAAATATTTACACTTTTGAGGAAACAGTAATTTGTGTTTCTGATTATGATCTGGCATTGGATTTTCCCTCCCCTCATAAGCAATGACAGAATCAGCAGAAATATGTGAAACATTAGTTCTCAGACATGAGACACCCGGAGAGGGCCCCCTCTGTCCTTCCCTGAGAGCTGATCAGCTCCTGCATCTGAAGAAATGACCAAAGACCAGGAGAGAACCACACAGAAGCATCGGAGGGACAGCACCTGGGGCTCTCATGGGGTCAGGAATAGTGTCTGCTCCCAATAGATGGACTAAGTAAAAAGTATCATAATTCACAAGGGTTTTACATAGCACAGAAGAAAAAGTTACCCTATATCAACTGTTGATCTTGTGAATCCAGGAACTCTGGATTCAAGGTGGTCGGGCACATCTTGATTTAGGCATTTCAGGGACACATGAGACATCAATCAATATAAGTAAGAAGGACACTAGTTCCATCCAGAAAGGCTGAGACAACTCAAAGCAAGTCCTCCCCACTTAGGGCTTCCAGGTCACAGGTAGGTGAGAGACAGATGGTTGCATTCTTTTGAGTTTCTGATAAGTGTTTGCAAAGGAGGTCATGAGAATATTCATCTGTCTCTGTGAGCAGAGGGACAACTTTAAATAGACTGGGAGGCAGATTTGCCCTGAGTGGTTCTCAGCTTGATGGGGCCCAAGATATTTTCCTTTCACAATCTGGTAACTTCAAACAAAACTTCAAAGCCACAACAAAACAATACAACAACAAAAAGAATAAGACATGGGTACTTATTAAGAGTAGAAAAACATTCAGTCCCCAAGGAAAATATTGGCAGTGCCCACCTCCACATGACAAAGGAGTAAGCAGTGTAAGCCACAGAAAGGAGCATATTAACCCACAGAGTGACCGAGAATAACACGGGTGATGCGAGGGCATTGAACACACATCATTGCATTTTGTAGATTCAGAAAGCAACAGAAAAGATTGACGGTGGTAAAAGAGACAGCCCTGCTTCCCTCTCCCTTTTCCCTTCCCAATGAGCCCTCACAGCCGTGACCCTCAGCCTCATCCCGCAGTGCAGCAGCTGCCGTCCTGTCCAGACCCACCTCCTGCCCCTCCCTGGGACTGTTACCTCATTCCCTCCCAGAGTCCAGGTGCCCCGCGGTTTGGTGCGGGAGCCTGGGGAGGCCCTTTGTTCTCTGTCAGGGTCTCCCTGGGAGGGACGCAGCCACCGCAGCTGGTTGGGGCCTGGCTTCACCGAGGACAGTCCTTTCCTTTCCCATTGTCGTTGGGTAATTATTGCTGGGCTGGGACATGAGGCAGGCAGAGGTGCGGGTCACCCTTAGGGCCCCCCTCTTCCTGCTGGGGCTCTGGGCGCTCCTGGCTCCAGTCCGGTGTTCTCAAGGCCGTCCCTTGTGGCACTACGCCTCCTCCGAGGTGGTGATTCCCAGGAAGGAGACGCACCACGGCAAAGGCCTTCAGTTTCCCGGCTGGCTGTCCCACAGCCTGCGTTTTGGGGGTCAAAGACACGTCATTCACATGCGGAGGAAACACCTTCTTTGGCCCAGACATCTGCTGGTGACAACTCAGGATGACCAAGGAGCCTTGCCGATGGATGGCCCCTACATTCCACCAGACTGCTACTACCTCGGCTACCTGGAGGAGGTGCCTCAGTCCATGGTCACCATCGACACGTGCTATGGGGGCCTCAGAGGCATCATGAAGCTGGACGACCTTGCCTACGAAATCAAACCCCTCCAGGATTCCCGCAGGTTTGAACATGTTGTTTCTCAGATAGTGGCTGAGCCCAATGCAACGGTGCCCACATTTAGAGATGGTGACAATGAGGAGACAGACCCCCTGTTCTCTGAAGCAAATAACAGCATGAATCCCAGGATATCTAATTCGCTGTATAGTTCTCATAGAGGCAATATAAAGGGCCACGTTCAATGTTCCAATTCATATTATCATATATATGGCAATATTACCACCTGTTCCAAAGAGGTGGTCCAGATGTTCAGTCTCATTGACAGCATTGTTCAAAATATTGATCTGTGGTACTATATTTATCTTTTGACCATATATAATAATCGTGACCCAGCCCCTGTGAATCAATATCGAATTCAGAGTGCAATGTTTACCTATTTTAAAACAACCTTTTTTGATACTTTTCATGTTCATTCATCCACACTACTTATTAAAGACGCACCACATGAATCCAACTATGAACCTGAAAGGTATAGCTTCTGTACACATTTAGGCCTATTACACATTGGTACTCTAGGCAGACATTATTTATTGGTAGCCATCATAATAACCCAGACACAGATGAGAAGTATTGGTCTGGAGTATGATGATAACTACTGCACATGTTAGAGAAGGGCCTCCTGCATTATGCAGAGATTTCCTGGGATGACAGATGCATTCAGTAACTGTTCTTATGGACATGCACGAAATTGTTTTATACGTCCAGGCCGGTGTGTTTTCAAAACACTTTCTCCTGTGTATAATGAAACCATGACAACGGTTCGCTGTGGAAACCTCATAGTGGAGGGGAGGGAGGAATGTGACTGTGGCTCCTTCAAGCAGTGTTATGCCAGTTATTGCTGCCAAAGTGACTGTCACTTAACACCGGGGAGCACCTGTCATATAGGAGAGTGCTGTACAAACTTCAGCTTCTCCCCACCAGGGACTCTCTGCAGACCTATCCAAAATATATGTGACCTTCCAGAGTACTGTCACGGGACCACCGTGACATGCCCAGCAAACTTTTATATGCAAGATGGAACCCTGTGCATGGAAGAAGGCTACTGTTATCATGGGAACTGCACTGACCGCAATGTGCTCTGCAAGGCGATGTTTGGTGTCAGTGCTGAGGATGCTCCTAAGGTCTGCTATGACATAAATCTTGAAAGCTACCGATTTGGACATTGTATTAGACAACAAACATATCTCAGCTACCAGGCTTGTACAGGAATAGATAAGTTTTGTGGAGGACTGCAGTGTACCAATGTGACCCATCTTCCCCAGCTGCAGGAACATGTTTCATTCCATCACTCAGTGAGAGGAGGGTTTCAGTGTTTTAGACTGGATGAACACCATGCAACAGACATGACTGATGTTGGGCGTGTGATAGATGGCACTCCTTGTGTTCATGGAAACTTCTGTAATAACACCCGGTGCAATGCAACTATCACTTCACTGGGCTACGACTGTCGCCTTGAGAAGTGCAGTCATAGAGGGGTCTGCAACAACAGAAGGAACTGCCATTGCCATATAGGCTGGGATCCTCCACTGTGCCTAAGAAGAGGTGCTGGTGGGAGTGTCGACAGCGGGCCACCTCCAAAAAGAACATGTTCTCTCAGACAAAGCCAACAATCAGAGATGTATCTGAGAGTGGTCTTTGGTCGTATTTACGCCTTCATAATTGCACTGCTCTTTGGGACAGCCACAAATGTGCAAACTTATCAGGACCACCACCGGTTAGGAAGAGACAGTTACTAACCCTGAATAAGACTAATTCAGCCTCCCGATCCCTGTAAAGATACAGAGAATATAACAGCAAAATCTATGAAATAGGATCAGGCGAAGGGATGGCAAAGCTCAAGTCCACATTTCTTGAAGTCCACAGGAGGCACATGGTCCTGTCTCACGTCACAGGGAAAGGGGAGGCATTGGCTTCTATCCCAGGTTCTTGTAGGTCGCTGATGTTCACTCTGAAATAAATCTTCAAAAACACACATTGGTGCCTTCCACATTTTCTTAGACTCCTCTGGGAGCCCAAACTTGGCCAGAACCTCTGGCCTGGAGAGACATGAATGAGCATCTGGCTCTTGACCTGAGGTCGCTGGTCCCGGAATTAACGGAAGTTGCCACCAGCTCCTTACAGGGCACGTTCATGACATTTCTCCAGAAGAGAGCTCCAGAGCAATAAGCTTCCTCATTCCCCAGGTAATCAGTCCTTCTCTAAACCCGAAGTCAGTTTAGGGTGATCCAGGGCTACTCCCTGTTCCCTGTCTGTTCCTTACAGGGGTGCTGTGGGCTTTGCAGTGAGAGGGACTTGGGTTCAAATCCCCCACCAAGCAAATCCCCCTACCTGGGGCCGAGCTTCCCGTATGTGGGAAAATGAATCCCTCAGGTTGATTGCTGCAAGCAATGAAATTCAACTAGAAAAATAGGTAGACGTGAGGGCAAGCTGTCTGTCATTTAGTGTGAGCTCTGTGAGTGGCAGCTGCCCCCTTTCTTCTTGCCCCCACATTTTCTTGAACTGAAACAGGAAGGGAAGCTGAGTAAGTCATGATGAGGAAGAGAAACCAGGCTTGTAGCAGCACAGGCTGGTCTGGGTGGAAAACAGGGCTAGGTGTGTCGCTAAGTTGTTGTAAAGGAAAATGGAAGTTAAATGTATAAATAACTGAATGAGATAACATTTTATTTTAACTTACAATTCACAATAATATTGACGTTTAAAATGCAGTGTAGATATGTCACAGAGAATGTCAAAGGCAAAGCCCACCAACGGAAGATATCACCCTTCCCATACCATCAACAGAAAACTGCTGGTATTCTAGAGTAGTACTGAGATCTAGCATTTTTCTGAATACATCTGTGGTTCTAGATGTCCTGCTTCCACAGATATTGTTTAGAATTCCCACCCCTTTCTCCAAACACAGCTTGATATCCTTTCTCTGAACCTGCTTAGAAATTTCCTCCATTCAGCTGTCATAAAAATGCGAGTAATGCATTCCTGTGCCTCTCTCAGGGTGTTCTATTATTTTGTGGGTGAACGCTAATGGACAGTGAAGTGTGAGGTCAGTGAATACAATGCCCTCGCCCTGTGTGTCCTTCGGGTGTGAGGGGTTTTGCTGATAGAACAGCAGGCCCCGTCCCACCCTTTATGCATCTCCACCCTCCACCTCATGCACCCAGCTGACCTCTTCCCTGTGGCCTGGGGGGTTCCCTGGGGGAATGACCTCCCCTCTCTCCAGGGCCCACCCACTCAGTGCCCGTGCAAGACCACCAAGCTTGGCACAGCCCCACATTGTGTCAGGGCCTGTGTCCCCTTCCTCACCCCCTAAACAGATGGACCCACTGGGACACTGCTCAGCGCAGGGGGCGGTGGTATGTGCAGAAGGAAGGCAAATGTGCACTCTGTTGGAGAAATATTATAGGTAGTTTGAGCAAAAAATCTAATGCCATGTGAACTTTTAGAATGATACATATTTTAACAAAGAACATGACCAATAGAGTTTGTATTGAAGCCAGGTAAACACTATTTAGAGCAACAACAATATCAAAAACAAGCCAACAGTTCACCAAGAAAAACCACAATTAACCCCATGGAAATGGTCTTCCAAGAGCATCAGCACTTAAATCCTCGAAATCTGCCTGCCTCAGCACCTGTTGTCCTGACCTGCCCTCCTGTGTGTCCTAATCACTCCTATACACGGGGCCTGCACTGTGGGAGATTCGAGCTGTGCCAGGTGGAGGGAGCAGGACAACTGCTACCGGGTTGTTGGTGTGGATGCCGAGGCTACCCAAGCAGGTGTAAACTCCCACCTGTGGGCCAGGGAAGAGTACACAGGAGACATGTCCTGGGAATAGGGTGAGGGAGAGCTGTGGGGGCTCTGGGTTCTGAAGAGGGTTCTGGCCTGGCAGGGATAAGACCAACCAGCATGTGAGGCCAGGCTGGAGTCTGGACTTCTGAAGCTGCAAGGGTCGTGGGTTGCTTGGCCCAAGGGGCTGTCCTGGTTCTCTATGGAGCACTTTCAAACATTCCTTCTTCCTCCCACCCCCTCCTTCTCTCTTTCTGGGGTGGGTCCTCTGCCAGAGCCTGCAACTCCCAAATCCTCTTTGCCGGGTCCTCGGCTTCACTCTGCATCCGTCCTGAGCATCGATCTTCCAATTCCATCCTCTTCTCTTCTGCTGTGTCTAAGCTGCTGTGAAGCCACCTGCTGTAATTTACTGTTTTATATTTAATATTGTACCGTACATCTGTTCTGTTTCCTTCATCATAAACGCTTCATTTCACACTCAGCATCTGGGAACACAAGGCCTTGTCAGCTGTCACCTCCTTCCATTCTCTGTTTCCTTCCTCCTCTCCCCATGTTTGCTCATCATGGCCAGTCTCCTGCCATCCTGAATGCTTCTGATGGAAGGTCCAAGATGTCTCATGAGCATTGTGAAGATTCTTTGTAATGCGACCTTGTTCCAGGCAGGAATTCTCCCTCACCCACCCCTGGAAGCCAAGTATAGGGAGATTGCCATGTTTAATCAAAGACTGAGCTAACTTAACACTGGCTTTGGTTTTAAGGTTTCTCCAATCCCCAGGGCACAGGATTTCAGGGAGTTCAGGTGACAGTCTGGGTGTTACCCTTCAGGAGGTTGTAAAGACCATTTCACATAGTTTACACCACAGACTATGGAAACTATATATATATATATCTAGTGCTGTCCCTCTAGAGAACCCTAGTATGTATATATATAATATATAATATGTATTATATATTATATATATGTAGGAGTTTATTGAGGAGTATTAAACTCACACAACTGCAAGGTCCCACAGTAGGCCACCTGCAAGCTGAGGAGCAAGGAAGCCAGTCCGAATCCCAAAGCTGAAGAATTTGAAGTCTGATGTTCGAGGGCAGGAAGCATCCAGCACAGGAGAAAGATGTAGGCTGGGAGGCTAAGCCAGTCTAGTCTTTTCATGTTTTCTGCCTGCTTTATACCCTGGCCACACTGGCAGCTGATTAGATGGTGCCCACCAAGATTAAGGGTAGGTCTGCCTTTCCCAGCTCACTGGCTCAAATGTTAATCTCCTTTGGCAACACCCTCACAGACACACCCAGGATCAATACTTTGCATGCTTCAATCCAATCAAGTTGACACTCTGTATTAACCATCACAAGTCCAACCCTTGTCAACTTGAACCCATACGAATCTCCTGAGATCATACATAATCTTCAAATAAAGACAATAATAAGGTCATAATTACACCTAATGTAATACAACTATCTTTTGTACAACCAGAAATGCACCAATCCCCAACCCAAGTGCTATTATGTAAAGTTAAGAACACTTAAATGCTGATATGAAGTCAATAAATTTTATGTCACATGATAAAGGAAAAAAGAAATAAAATGAAGGAATTTTCTTAGTACAAGTGTGTACATGCACAAACATGTTTTTAACAAAAGAAGAAGGAAATACTGATGACAATTACAGTCCTCATTTCTGCAACAGATCACGTGGTTGTAGCTGGTATTGATGACTACTTCTTCTACTACCGATTCTGTATTCCCTTTGCCTTCAGCAAGCATCACAGCAGGTAGAGTTTTTTCTCCTAGTGGAGTGATGCAAACCTTCATTCCTGAAGGGTCTGGGCCATTTGTAGTCCTGCCTGGATTGGGCTGTTGTAGTTTCCCGTTGACCTTAATGACAGGGCAGGGTAATGTTAAGAGATGCCCTAATGGATCTCCTGTATTCCATACATATTCTTCCTTACCTCCATTGTGGAGTAATAGACTGATTGCATCTTGATAGTTCAGGTCAATCAGCCCAGTCAACACTGTAACTCCCTTCTTAGCCTGTGGACTTGAAGGTAGGAGCGGCCCAAAGTGGCCAGGTGGAAATCTTAACTTCCAGTTTAATGGAATTGTTGTTGTTTCTCCTGATGGCAGCATTATTCCCACTGGAATTAAGACCTCTAGGCCAACAGAATGTAATGTCATGGGACCAGGAAGCAAAAATTTTGCTAGGGGATCACTAGGGGTGATGGTGAATGGTGCCATTTCCACTCCCACCCCTTGATTCCTGGATCCATGAATTATGGCTATGGGAGAAACAGTACCATATGTTGGATGCTAATTTGGAGCATACATGGCCTTTTGGATAGCTTTGCCCCAGCTCTGCAAAGTATTGGAGCCTAGTTGGCATTGTAATTGTGATTTTGAAAGGCCATTCCATTCTTCTATCAATCCAGCTGCTTCAGGATGATGGGGAACATGGTAAGACAAGTGAATCCCATGAGCATGAGCCCACTGCCACACTTCTTTAGCCGTAAAGGGAGTGCCTTGGTCAGAGGCAATGCTATATGGAATACTGTGACAGTGGATAAGGCATTCCATGACTCCACAGATGGTAGTCTTGGCAGAAGCATTGCATGCATATCTGCAGTAAGTGTCTATTTCAGTGAGGACAAACCTCTGCCCTTTCCAGGATGGAAGAGGTCCAATATAATCCAACCTGCCATCAGGTAGCTCGCTGATCACCCTGAGGAATGGTGTCATTTGGGTAGAGACCCACAGCCAAACCAGATCACGCCACCCCAACCCCTCCCAAATCTCATGTCCTCTTTGCATTTCAAAACCAATCGTGCCTTCCCAACAGTCCCCCAACATCTTAACTCATTTCAGCATTAACTCAAAAGTCCAAATCCAAAGTCACATTGGAGACAAGGCAAGTCCCTTTCATCTATGAACCTGTAAAATGAAAAACAAGTCAGTTACTTCCAAGACAAAATGGGGGTACAGGCATTAGATACATGCTCCCATTTCAGTTGGGAGAAATGGGCCAGAATAAAGGGGCTACAGGTCACATGCAAGCCCAAACTCCAGTGGGGCAGTCATGAAATCTTAAAGCTTCAAAATAATCTCCTTTGACTCCATTCCTCACATTCAGGGCATGCTTATGCAAAGTGGGGGCTCCCACAACCTTGGGAAGCTCTCACCCTGTGGCTTTGCAGCTCTGATCCCATGGCTGCTCTCATGGGCTTTGCAGAGTTCAGCCCTCCTGGCTGCTCTCATTGAGTGCCTGCAGCTTTTCCAGGTGCACAGTGCAAGCTGTTAATAGATCTACCATTCTGGGGTCTGAAGGATGGTGGCCCTCTTCTCACAACCCCATTAGTCACTGTCTCCGGTGGGGACTCTGTGTGGGGGTTCCAACCCCACATTTCCCTTCTGCACTGCCCTAGCAGAGGCTCTCCATGAGGGCTTTGCCCCTGGCACAGACTTCTGGCTGGACATCCAGTCATTTCTATAAATCCTCTGAGATCTAGGCAGAGGATCACAAAGCTGAACTCTTCTCTTCTGCACACCCATAGGCCCAACATCATGTAGAAGCCACCAATGATTGGGGCTTTCTGAAGCAATGGCCTGAGCTGTACATTGGACTTTTTTAGCCACAGCTAGACCTGGAGCAGCTGGGACACAGGGCACCAAGTCCCAAGGCTCCAAAGAGCAGCTGGGCCCTGGACCCAGCCCATGAAACCATTTTTCCCTGATAGGCCTCCAGGCCTGTGATTGGAAGGGCTGCTGCAAAGATCTCTGACATGGCCTGGAAACATTTTCCCCATTGTCTTGGTTATTAATATTCATCTCTTCATTATTTATGCAAATTTCTGCAGCCAACTTGAATTTCTCCCTAGCAAATGTGTTTTTCTTTACTACCACATGGCCAGGCTGCAAACTTTCCAAACTTTTATGCTCTGTTTCCCTTTTAAACATAAGTTCCTATTTCAGATCATCTCTCTCAAGGGCAAAGTTCCACAGATTTCTAGGGCAGGGAAAAATTCCATCAAGCTTGGTTTTATACAGGCATGAGACATCAATCAAATACATTTAAGAGATACATTGGTTTGGTCCAGAAAGGTGGAACAACTCAAAGCGAGGGCTTCCAGGCTATTGGTGAATTTAAACATTTTCTGGTTGACAATTGGTTGAGTTTGTCTAAAGACCTGGGATAGATAGAAAGGTAATGTTCAGGTTAAGATAAAGATTCTAGAGTCCAAAGTTCTTTTGAAGTCTTATAGTGGCTGCCCTTAGAGATAATAGGTGACAAATGTTTCCTATTCAGATCTTAGTTCAACTCTTTAGGATTGGGAGGTTCTAGAAGAAAAAGATCTAGCCATGTTAATAGAGATTCTTTACAGATGCAAATTTTCCCCCACAAAGAACAGCTTTGCAGGGCCCTTTCTTTCTTTCTTTCTTTCTTTCTTTCTTTCTTTCTTTCTTTCTTTCTTTTCTTTCTCTTTCCTTCCTTCCTTCCTTCCTTCCTTCCTTCCTTCCTTCCTTCCTTCCTTCCTTCCTTCCTTCTCTCTCTCTCTCTCTCTCTTTCTTTCTTTCTTTTTAGAGGGAGTTTTGCTCTTGTTGCCCAGGCTGGAGTACAATGGCACGATCTTGTCTCACCACAACCTCCACTGCCTGGGTTCAAGCAATTCTCCTGCCTCAGTCTCCTGAGTAGCTACGATTACAGGCATGCACCACCACACCCGGCTAATTCTGTATTTTCAGTAGACACAGGGTTTCTCCATGTTGGTGAGGCTGGTCTCGAACTCCCAACCTCAGGTGATCCGCCCACCTCAGCCTCTCAAAGTGCTGGGATTACAGGCATGAGCCACCATGCCCGGCCTGCAGGGCCATCTCAGAGTATGGCAAAGAAACATGTTTTGGGGTAAAATATTTTGATTTTCTTATTTGTCTCATAATGTTATGCCAGAGTCAGTTTGGAAAGTAAATCATGATATATAGGTTTAAATAAAACCTATCTGATGAGAATTTATGATTTGTAGAGCATGCCTCCCCAGACTCTTTAGATAGGAATTTGGGCAAGATAAAAAAAAAATCAGAGTTTAGTCCTCACCATCTAAGACCAGCTCAGCTTGGACTTCGCTGTTCATGTCACTATCAGCATTTTAGTCAAAACCACTCAATAAGTCTCTAGGAAGTTCCAAACTTTCCCACATCTTCCCCTCTTCTTTCAAGTTCTCCAAACTGTTCCAACCTCTGTCAGGAGGTACCCGGTTCCAAAGTTGCTTCCAGATTTTCAGTTATCTTTATAACAGTTCCCCACTCCTGGTACCAATTTACTATATTAGTCTGTTTTCACAGTGCTATAAAGAACTGCCCAAAAGTGGATAATTTGTAAAGAAAAGAGGTTTAATTGACTCACAGTTCTGTGTGGTTAGGGTCGGGGGCTCAGGAAACTTGCAATCATGGTGGAAGTGGAAGCAGGCATGTGACACATGGCAGCAGGTGAGAGACAGAGAGAGAGAGAGAAAGAGAGAGAGAGGGAATGAAGGAGGAACCACCATACATTGATAAAACCATCAGATCACATGAGCACTCACTCACTATCAGGAGACCATGAGGACAGCATGGGGGAAATCACCCCCATGACCAAGTCACCTCCCACCAGGTCCATCCCTTGACACATGAGGATTACTATTTTTTTTTTTTTTTTGAGATGGAGTCTCGCTCTGACGCCCAGGCTGGAGTGCAGTGGCGGGATCTCGGCTCACTGCAAGCTCCGCCTCCCGGGTTCACGCCATTCTCCTGCCTCAGCCTCCCAAGTAGCTGGGACTACAGGCGCCCGCCAGTACGCCCGGCTAATTTTTTGTATTTTTAGTAGAGACGGGGTTTCACCGTTTTAGCCGGGATGGTCTCGATCTCCTGACCTCGTGATCCGCCCGCCTCAGCCTCCCAAAGTGCCGGGATTACAGGCGTGAGCCACCGCGCCCGGCCGAGGATTACTATTTGAGATGAGATTTGTTTAATGACACAGAGCAAAACCACATCAGCATGTGACAAAGGTCTAATATCAAGAATCTATGAGGGGGCAGTTCCAAGATGGCTGAATAGGAACAGCTCCAGTCTGCAGCTCCCAGCATGAGCTATGCAGAAGACGGGTGATTTCTGCATTTCCAACTGAGGTTCTGGGTTCATCTCATGGGGGCTTGTTGGACAGTGGGGGCAGGACAGTGTGTGCAGACCACCAAGAGTGAGCTGAAGCAGGGTGAGGCATTGCCTAACCCAGGAAGTGCAAGGGGTCAGGGAATTCCCATTCCTAGCCAAGGGAAGTGGTGATGGACGGCACCTGGAAAATCCAGTCACTCCCACCCTAATACTGCACTTTTCCAATGGTCTTAGCAAACGGCACACCAGGAGATTATATCCCATGCCTGTCTTGGAGGGTCCCACACCCACAGAGCCTCGCTCATTGCTAGCACAGCAGTCTGAGATCAAACTGCAAGGTGGCAGCGAGGCTGGGGGAGGGGTGCCCATCATTGCTGAGGCTTGAGTAGGTAAACAAAGTGGCCCAGAAGCTCAAACTGGGTGGAGTCCACTGCAGCTCAAGGAGGCCTGTCTGCCTCTGTAGACTCCACCTCTGGGGGCAGGGCATAGCTGAACAAAAGGCAGCAGAAACCTCTGCAGACTTAAAGGTCCCTGTCTGACAGCTTTGAAGAGAGTAGTGGTTCTCCCACATGGACTTTGAGATCTGAGAATGGACAGACTGTCTCAAGTGGGTCCCTGACACCCAAGTAGCCTAACTGGGAGGCACCCTCCAGTAGGGGCAGACTGACACCTCACACGGCCGGGTGCCTCTCTGAGATGAAGCTTCCAGAGGAATTATCAGGCAGCAACATTTGCTGTTCAGCAATACTCGCTGTTCTGCAGCCTCTGCTGCTGATACCCAGCAAAATAGGGTCTGCAGTAGAGCTCCAGCAAACTCCAACAGACCTGCAGCTGAGGGTCCTGACTGTTAGAAGGAAAACTAACAAACAGAAAGGACATCCACATGAAAACCCCATCTGTACGTCACCATCATCAAAGACCAAAGGTAGATAAAACCACAAAGATGGGGGAAAAACAGAGCAGAAAAGCTGAAAATTCTAAAAATCAAAGTGCCTTTCCCCCTCCAAAGGAACGCAGCTCCTCGCCCGCAATGGAACAAAGCTGGATGGAGAAAGACTTTGACGAGTTGAGAGAAGAAGGCTTCAGATGATCAAACTACTCCGAGCTAAAGGAGGAAGTTGGAACCCATTGCAAAGAAGCTAAAAACCTTGAAAAAAGATCAGATGAATAGCTAACTAGAATAACCAGTGTAGAGAAGTCCTTAAATGACCTGATGGAGCTGAAAACCATGGCACAAGAACTACGTGATGAATGCACAAGCTTCAGTAGCTGATTCGATCAACTGGGAGAAAGGGTATCAGTGATTGAAGATCAAATGAAAGAAATGAAGGGAGAAGAGAAGTTTAGAGAAAAAAGAGTAAAAAGAAAGAAACAAACCCTCCAAGAAATATCAGACTATGTGAAAAGACCAAATCTATGTCTGATTGGTGTACCTGAAAGTGACAGGGAGAATGGAACCAATTTGGAAAACACTCTGCAGGATATTATCCAGGAGAACTTCCCCAACCTAGCAAGACAGGCCAACATTCAAATTCAGGAAATACAGAGAATGTCACAAAGATACTCCTCGAGAAGAGCAACTCCAAGACACATAATTGTCAGATTCACCAAAGTTGAAATGAAAAAAAAATATTAAGGGCAGCCAGAGAGAAAGGTTGGGTTACCCACAAAGGGAGGCCCATCAGACTAATAGCTGATCTCTCAGCAGAAACTCTACAAGCCAGAAGAGAATGGGGGCCAATATCCAACATTCTTAAAGAAAAGAAATTTCAACCCAGAATTTCATATCCAGCCAAACTAAGCTTCATAAGTGAAGGAGAAATAAAATCCTTTACAGACAAACAAATGCTGATACACTTTGTCATCACCAGGCCTGCCCTACAGGAGCTCCTGAAGGAAGCACTAAAAGTGGAAAGGAACAACTTGTACCAGCCACTGCAAAAACATGCCAAATTGTAAAGACCACCAAGGCTAGGAAGAAACTGCATCAACTAATGAGCCAAATGACCAACTAACATCATAATGACAGGATCAAATTCACACATAACAATATTAACGTTAAATGTAAATGGGCTAAATGCTCCAATTAAAAGACACAGACTGGCAAATTGGATAAAGAGTCAAGACCCATCAGCGTGCTGTTTTCAGGAGACCGATCTCACATGCAGAGACACACATAGGCTCAAAATAAAGGGATGGAGGAAGATCTACCAAGCAAATGGAAAACAAAAATAGGCAGGAGATGCAATCCTAGTCTCTGATAAAACAGACTTCAAACCAACAAAGATCAAAAGAGACAAGGAAGACCATTACATAATGGTAAAGGGATAAATTCAACAAGAAGAGCTAACTATCCTAAATATATATGCACCCAATACAGGAGCGCCCAGATTCATAAAGCAAGTCCTTAGAGATCTACAAAGAGACTTAGACTCCCACACAATAATCATAGGAGACTTTAACACCCCACTGTCAACATTAGACAGATCAACGAGACAGAAAGTTAACAAGGATATCCAGGAACTGAACTCGGCTCTGCACCAAGCAGACCTAATAGACATCTACAGAACTCTCCACGCCAAATCAACAGAATATACATTCTTTTCAGCACCACACCACACCTATTCCAAAATTGACCACATAGTTGGAAGTAAAGCACTCCTCAGCAAATGTAAAAGAATAGAAATTATAACAAACTGTCTCTCAGACCACAGTGCAATCAAACTAGAACTCAGGATTAAGAAACTCACTCAAAACGGCTCAACTACATGGAAACTGAACAACCTGCTCCTGAATGACTACTGGGTACACAACGAAATGAAGGCAGAAATAAAGATGTTCTTTGAAACCAATGAGAACAAAGACACAACATACTAGAATATCTGAGACACATTCAAAGCAGTGTGTAGAGGGAAATTTATAGCACTAAATGCCCACAAGAGAAAGCAGGAAAGATCTAAAATTGACACCCTAACATCACAATTAAAAGAGCTACAGAAGCAAGAGCAAACACATTCAAAAGCCCGCAGAAGGCAAGAAATAACTAAGATCAGAGCAGAACTGAAAGAAACAGAGACACAAAACACCCTTCAAAAAATCAATGAATCCAGGAGTTGGTTTTTTTTAAAAGATCAACAAAATTGATAGACCGCTAGCAAGACTAATAAAGAAGAAAAGAGAGAAGAATCAAATAGATGCAATAAAAAATGATAAAGGGGATATCACCACTGATCCCACAGAAATACAAACTACCATCAGAGAATACTATAAACACCTCTATGCAAATAAACTAGAAAATATGGAAGAAATGGATAAATTCCTCGACACATTCACCATCCCAAGACTAAACCAGGAAGAAGTTGAATCTCTGAATAGACCAATAACAGGCTCTGAAATTGAGGCAGTAATTAATAGCTTACCAACCAAAAAAAGTCCAGGACCAGATGGATTCACAGCCGAATTCTACCAGAGGTACAAGGAGGAGCTGGTACCACTCCTTCTGAAACTATTCCAATCAATAGAAAAAGAGGGAATCCTCCCTAACTCATTTTATGAGGCCAGCATCATCCTGATACCAAAGCCTGGCAGAGACACAACAAAAAAAAGAGAATTTTAGACGAATAACCCTGATGAACATAGATGCAAAAATCCTCAATAAAATACTGGCAAACTGAATCCAGCAGCACATCAAAAAGCTTATCCACCATGATCAAGTGGGCTTCATACCTGGGATGCAAGGCTGGTTCAACATACACAAATCAATAAACGTAATCCAGCGTATAAACAGAACCAACAACAAAAAACACATGATATCTCAATAGATGCAGAAAAGGCCTTTGACAAAATTCAACAACGCTTCATGCTAAAAACTCTCAATAAATTAGGTATTGATGGGATGTATCTCAAAATAATAACAGCTATCTATGACAAACCCACAGCCAATATCATACTGAATGGGCAAAAACTACAAGCATTCCCTTTGAAAGCTGGCACAACACAGCGACACCCTCTCTCACCACTCCTATTCAACATAGTGTTGGAAGTTCTGGCCAGGGCAATCAAACAGGAGAAGGAAATAAAGGGTATTCAATTCGGAAAAGAGGAAGTCAAATTGTCGCTGTTTGCAGATAACATGATTGTATATCTAGAAAACCCCATCGTCTCAGCCCAAAATCTCCTTAAGCTGATAAGCAACTTCAGCAAAGTCTCAGGATACAAAATCAATGTGCAAAAATCACAAGCATTTCTATAACCCAATAACAGAAAAACAGAAAGCCAAATCAGGAGTGAACTCCCATTCACAATTGCTTCAAAGAGAATAAAATACCTTGGAATCCAACTTACAAGGGACGTGAAGGACCTCTTCAAGGAGAACTACAAACCACTGCTCAATGAAATAAGAGGATACAAACAAATGGAAAAACATTCCATGATTATGGGTAGGAAGGATCAATATCCTGAAAATGGCCATACTGCCCAATGTAATTTATAGATTCATTGCCATCCCCATCAAGCTACCAATGACTTTCTTCACAGAATTGGAAAAAATTATTTTAAAGTTCATATGGAACCCAAAAAGAGCCCACATTGCCAAGTCAATCCTAAGCCAAAAGAACAAAGCTGGAGGCATCAAGCTACCTGACTTCAAACTATACTACAAAGCTACAGTAACCAAAACAGCATGGTACTGGTACCAAAACAGAGATATAGACCAATGGAACAGAACAGAGCCCTCAGAAATAATGCCGCATATCTACAACTATCTGATTTTTGACAAACCTGACAAAAATAAGAAATGGGGAAATGATTAGCTATTTAATAAATGGTGCTGGGAAAACAGGCTAGCCATATGTAGAAAGCTGAAACTGGATCCCTTCCTTACACCTTATACAAAAATTAATTCACGATGGATTAAAGACTTAAATGTTAGGCCTAAAACCATGAAAACCCTAGAAGAAAACCTAGGCATTATCATTCAGGACATAGGCATGGGCAAGGACTTCATGTCTAAAACACCAAAAGCAATGACAACCAAAGCCAAAATTGACAAATGGGATCTAATTAAACTAAAGAGCTTCTGCACAGCAAAAGAAACTACCATCAGAGTAAACAGGCAACCTACAGAATGGGAGAAAATTTTTGCAATCTACTCATCTGACAAAGGGCTAATATCCAGAATCTACAATGAACTCAAACAAATTTACAAGAAAAACAAACAACCCCATTAAAAGTGGGCAAAGGATATGAATAGACACTTCTCAAAAGAAGACATTTATGCAGCCAAAAGACACATGAAAAAATGCTCATCATCACTAGCCATCAGAGAAATGCAAATCAAAACCGCAATGAGATACCATCTCACACCAGTTAGAATGGCAATCATTAAAAAGTCAGGAAACAACAGGTGCTGGAGAAGATGTGTAGAAATAGGAACACTTTTACACTGTTGGTGGGACTGTAAACTAGTTCAACCATTGTGGAAGTCAGTGTGGCGATTCCTCAGGGATCTAGAACTAGAAATACCATTTGACCCAGCCATCCCATTACTGGGTATATACCCAAAGGATTATAAATCATGCTGCTATAAAGACACATGCACACATATGTTTATTGCGGCACTATTCACAATAGCAAAGACTTGGAACCAACCCATATGTCCAACAATGATAGACTGGATTAAGAAACTGTGGCACATATACACCATGGAATACTACACAGCCATAAAAAAGGATGAGTTCATGTCCTTTGTAGGGACATGGATGAAGCTGGAAACCATCATTCTCACCGAACTATCGCAAGGACAAAAAGCAAACACCACATGTTCTCACTCATTGGTGGGAATTGAACAATGAGAACACTTGGACACAGGAAGGGGAACATCATACACCGGGGCCTGTTGTGGGGTGGGGGGAGGGGGGAGGGATAGCATTAGGAGATATACCTAATGTTAAATGATGAGTTAATGGGTGTAGCACACAAACATGGCACATATATACATATGTAACAAACCTGCACGTTGTGCACATGTACCCTAAAACTTAAAGTATAATAAAAAAATTAAAAAAAAAGAAACACCTGCTTTTTCCTGTTTTCCATTTGCTTTGTTGATTTTTCTCCATTTTTTTACTTTGAGCCTGTGGATGTCACTGCATGTGAGATGGGTCTCTTGAAGACAGCATACATTTGGGTCTTGCTTCTTTATCCAACTTGGCAATTCTGTGCCCTTTAATTGGGGCATTTAGTCCATTTACATTCAAGATTAATATTGATATGTGCATATTTCATCCTGTTATCATGTTGTTAGCTGCTCAATATGCAGATTTGATTGTATAGTTGATTTATAGTGGCAATCGTTATGTACTTAAGTGTGTTTTTGTGGTGGTCAGTAACATTCTTCCATTATCATATTTAGCAATCCCTTAAGGACCTCTTGTAAGGGAAATATAGTGGTGATGAATACCCTTAGCATTTGCTTGTCTGAAAAGGATCTTATTTCTCCTTCACTTGTGAAGCTTAGTTTGGCTAGATATGAAATTCTTGCTTGGAATTTCTTTTCTTTAAGAATGCTGAATATAGGCCCCTAATCTCTTCTGGATTGTACAGTTTCTGGTGAAACATCCACTGTTAGCCTCATTGGGTTCCCTTTGTATGCGACCTGAACCTTCTTTCTAGCTGCCTCTAACATTTTTTTTCCTTTCAACCTTTAAGAGTCTGATGGCTATATGTCTTAGGGATGGTTGTCATGTATAATATCTTGCAGAGGTTCTTTGCATTTCTTGAATTTGAATGTTGGCCTCTCTGGTGAGGTTGGAGAAATTTTCATGGAGGATAGCCTGAAATGTTTTTCAAGTTGCTTTGTTTCTCTTTCTCTTTTTAAGGGATACCAATGTGTCATAGATCTGATCTTTTTACATAATCACCCATTTCTCTGAGGTTTTATGCCTTCTTTTTTGTTCTCTTTTCCTTTATTTTTGTCTGACTGAGTTAATTCAGAGAATCAGTTTTTAAGCTCTGTGATTCTTTCCTCAGCTTGGTCTATTCTGCGGTTAATACTTGTAGTTGTATTCTGAAATTCTTGAAGTGAGTTTTTTAGCTCTATCAAATCATTTTGATTCTTTCTTAAAATGGCCACTTCATCTTTCAGCTTCTGTATCATTTTACTTTATTTCTTAGCTCCCTTGGATTGGGTTTCAACATTCTCCTGAATCTCAGTTATCTTCTTTCCTATCCATATTCTGAATTCTATGTCTGTCATTTCAGCCATTTCAGTCAGGTTAAGAACCATTGCTGGGAAACCAGTGTGGTCGTTTGGAGGTAAGAAGACACTCTGGATTTTAGAGTTGCAGAGTTTCTTGCATTAATTCTTTCTCATCTTTGTGGGCTGTTTCTTTAATCTTTGAAGTGGCTGTCCTTTGGATGTTTTTTTCTTTTTTGTTGTTTTTTGGTGTGTGTTTTTGTTTGTTTGTTCATTTGTTTGTTTTTTGCTCTTATCTTCTTTGATACTCTTGCAGGTTTGATTGTGGTATAAAGTGGGTTCAGTTAGCTGTGTTTCTTGAAAATCTTAGGGGGTCCAGGCTGACCTCAGCACTCTTGTGGTGTGTTCTCTGCTCTGGGACTGGGCCCCTGGCTTTATTCTCTGGCCCCTTGAGTTTAGAAACTTGCTGCATTGGAGGGGCTGAGTTTTTCCCAGTCCACTGGCCACAACACTATAGTAGGTGGTGCCGGCCAAAGCACTTCATTAGAGTGGTGGCAGTGGGATCCATTCTCACTCATAGGTGCCAGCAGTTGTGGTGTCATGGCAGGGTGCACATGCCTCTGCTGGGGTGGGGGTACTGGCAGGAGCAGGGTGGCAGCATCCCTACATAGGTTCCTGCTGGCAGTCACAGGACAGTGAGGTGCCTGTGTGTTGGCAGGGACAGGGTGGCGGGGTGCACATGCACATGCTTGCTGGTGGTAGAGGGAGTTGTGATCCGCTGTGCACTCATGCCAGCAAAGCAGTTGGGAGGTGCTATGGGTGGACTGGTGCACATCAGCAGAGGCTGGCTTGCTGGAGGTCCCCAATGGTTAGGCATGGTCTGCTGGCAAAGGAGCTATGATGAGGGCCCCCAGGAAACACCCTGGTTGGGCTTCCAAGGCTGTACTGCAAGCAGGCACAGCCAGCCTGGGGCCCCAGGAGAGGCCAGAAGGCAAGGAAATGCTCATTTCAGATGGGCCCTGTCCCATGGACAAGACCACCCTGCTATATTCAGCTCCAATAGTCACTCTAAGGTTAAAATCTCCTAGAGGAGGTTGGTGAGCCTTGGGGGATGGGTGTCACCTGGCTGTGCTCCACTACAGCCATTCTCATGTCAAACACTCTGGGCTTTACACAGACTGGAGTCCTACCCTTGGTATCCCTCTAAGCAGCTGTCCCTGCCAGCACAAGTGTCCATGGGGGTCATGGGGTCTCCTGCTGCTAGGATTCTGGAGGCCCATGGCAACAGCAGGCCACTCCTCACCTGTTCAACTCAACCTTTCCCCAGGAGTTGCTGGGAGCCAGGAATGAGTCCTGGTGCTCGGCATCCCCATGCAGGGTTCCCATCTTCCTCCACCTTCAGCCCGGCATCTCTCAGTCCACTCTCAATGCCTTCCCTTTAAAGATCTGCTTGGAAAGCACCAGTCTTCCTGATGTCTCACTCCCTCCATGGCAGATGTTCCTCCTGGCTGCATCTAGTCAGCCATCTTGACTCACCTCCAAAGTCTTTTTAATTACCACTTTGGTTAAATTAGTAACTATCATTTTACAATGGCCTGTGATTCTGTTTTGATCAAATATTTTGAGCCTTTTAGCATCTATAACAAATGTTCTCAAAAATCAAAATTCTAAATCAAGTCTCTGAGACCCTTGAAAGGGTGTGAGAGACAACATGGTTTCACCTGCCTTCATGTGTCCCAACCCATCCCTGTGGATGCCTCTGTCCACCTCAGCTTGCCCACTGTCTTTCCTTCCGAAATGTATGCCCTGCTGACTTCTGGCCTCAGTGACAGATGCAAAGACAAGGCGACAGCCCCACATAGACCATTTAACCAGCCCCACATTTGCATAGGCTAAATGGTCATGTCACAGTCTGTTGCTCAGACTGGTCTCAAATCCTGGGCTCAAGTGATCCACCCACCTTGACCCCCAAGGTGCTGGGATTACAGGCTTGAGCCACAGTGCCCAGCCAAGAACCCGTTTTTGACTGGGCACCTTGGCACACACCTGTAAATGCAACACTTTGGGAGGCCAAGGTGGGAGGGTGGCTTGAGGCCAGGAGGTTGAGGTTGCACTGAGCTATGATGGCACCACCTCACTTCAGTGTGGGTGGCAGGCAGAGTGAGATCCTTTCGAAAAAATAAAAAACAAAACTTGTTTTCTCTGCAGCCGGGCTCCGTAAGCAAACACAAACACAAACTTCCTCTCCAGAGGGTCCAGGAGTTGCTGGGCTGCAGGAGGTGCTTAGGGCCTCTTAGGGAATGGTAAGTGACCACCCAACGCAGGAACTCAGTCCCAGGGGCATATGCAAAGAAAGGCTGGGAGGACACTTTCAGTGACTGGGGTTACAAACCCCAACCATAAGCCATTGCTGGCTCTGTGAGCTGAAACCTCCAGAAATCTCCCACTTAGTTCTTAGCACTAATCCACTCTTCCTTTTTCCTACTCTCAATCCCTAGAGGATGCCCTCCTTTCTCAGGCTCAGACCAAGCTACCAGCTCCACTCTAGACCTGAACACATAACTCCTCCCTCTGTCTCCACCTGGAAATCTCATCAGTGCCTCACATTTACACTCCTGAAAATCAGGTCCTGCCCACCCACCCTCTTGCTCCACCTGATTCCTGCCCTGTTTCACCCAGAGGCCTTGCAGTCTCCTTTAACTCTCAAACCCACCCATGTCATGTGAGCATACTGACTGTGTTCTATGTAAGAAAGAGCAGTTTCTTGGTTGTCCTGCGGTTTTATTAGTCTATAGGCAAAGTGTTGGCAGAGCTGGTTCCTTCTGAACCCTGGGAGGGAGATTCTGTTTTCATGCCTTTTCCAGATTCTAGAACCCATATTCCTTGCTCTGTGTCCCCTTCTTCCATCTTCAAAGGCCATCCTCTCATTTCTGTGTCCATCATCACATCACCCTTCCCCTGACTCTGGCTCTCCTGCTTCCACTTATAAGCACCCTTGTGATTATGTCATACCCACCCAGAAAATGCAGGGTCATATTCTCCCCTCTCGAGATTAATTTAATCACATCTACAAAGTTCCTCGTGCCATATGAGGTCACAAATCCACATGTTCTGGGAGTTTGAATGTAAACATTTGGGGGATGCATTATTCAGCCACCCACAAGCACTGCTCCCCACTGGCCACACACTATGCACAGCTGAGATCGTGCAAGTGAAGCACATTCATCAACAGCAGCTTCAGCAAGAAACTGTATGCTCCACTTTCCTGCCATTTGTATCTGGATTTTTTTTTGCTATCATTGTAGAAAGAGTGGTATTGTAAAATTAAAGATGGATTATTTTCTTCCTAGAGCACTTTGGCAATCTGTCCAACATTATTTATCCCCTTCTGAGTGTCAAGTGTGAGGTCATTCTTTCATTGAGAGCTCAATGCCTACAATTATGATAATGCATATTGGGTACTTTCACACATCAGAAAGTTCTTCTTTCTTAAAATCTGTTCTTGAATTATTCATTCTTCTCTAGCTTTTTGTTGATCTATTTTATAATTTTAGAAAAATCAGAAAGTAACTTGAAGTATCTGTCATCTCTAGAGGTTTACCTCCCTCTTTGTGGTCTTCAGAATGCCATAACAGGCTTTTCCCATGCTCATCACATGGTTTCTATGTATGAGACCTCACCACAGGAGCTGTGGTCCGCCGGGAGCAGGCATCTGTGGATGGCGCCTTATTCCGGGCTGCTGGGACCTGTGCGCTGCCAGTGGCACTCCACGGCGGTGATTTCCTAGCTCAGTGTTGCAGCTCCAGATGGTGGGTGAGACACTAGGACCACTTTGTGAACAGCGAGGGCTTGGGGTTTGCTTTTCTACCATGTCCAGGGCTGCTCTTCATGGGGAATGTTTCTCACCTGACGTCATGGCTGAAGCCAACTTAGAACCTCTCTAGCCGTATGGGGAGTATGTGAGTGATACAGATGTTAATTAGCTCAGTGGAGCCACTCCCCTATGTAGACATGTTACAAAACATTATGCTGTACAGAATAAATATAGGTCATTTTTATGTGTCAATCAAAAGAGAAACTAATTATTAAAAAAAAAACCTCTCTACTAAAGCAGAAACCTCAGCTCCAGTCCCAGAAGACACACAAGGCTGCTCCTGTCCTGTGTATGTTAAACCTACCTCAGAAATGCAAGGGGCATTCAGGTTTCATTCTCAATTCAAATGCCCTTTTTAATTTTGTCTATTCCTAGCACCTGGCAACATCCAGCTCTTTTTTTGGGGCTCATTCATTATTTAAACCATGTATAATTTTTCACCCAACATTCTAACACATGTAGTACTGTAGAGAATCCTTCCCTAGGAGGATCTGCAGCATTAGAAAAGAATTAAGAAGTCCAACATTTACAAGAAGGAAAAAGCAAAGAAGAGATCAAAAAATGGGCAACTTCTAGAAATAGAAAACCCTCATGAGTATGATGATAAATCGCTGGCACACATGTGAATAGTTACTTGATGCTTATAGTGATGTCTGGGAAAATGACATGAAATACTTATAATCTGTTTCTCACACATGTAATTCAAAAGAATAAAGAGAAGATGATTTGAAATATTCTTGAGTTTGCAGGAAAAAAGCTACTTCCATATGCATAATTGCATGTATTTTGATACTGCCATTATTAATAACTATCTAAGAGGGTCCATTAAAAATAAAATTTCTTGGCTGGGCATGATGGCTCATGCCTGTATCCCGGCACTTTGGAAGGCTGAGGCAGGTGGATCACCTGAGGTCAGAAGTTCAAAACCAGCCTGGCCAACATGGTGAAACCCTGTCTCTACCAAAAATACAAAAATTAGCTGGGCGTGGTGGCGTGCACCTGTAGTCCGAGCTACTTGGGGGGCTGAGGCAGGATAATCGTTTGAACCCAAGAGGTGTAGGTTGCAGTGAGCTAAGATCACATCACCGCACTCCAGCCTGAGAGACAAAGTAAGACTCTGTCTCAAAAATATTAAAATAAAATTTCTCATTCCTATTACAGAGTAATTTAATTCATTAATGCCCTGCCCTGTTACAAAACTCATTTGTAAAATACTAATTGTAATTGTGAAAAAATGGCAATTGATACTAATTTTAAATTCTAAAAACAGGGCACCCATATTAAAGATTATTCTGCAGTAAGAGAATTAGCTATAACATTTTGTAATAAGGTGGAGAAAACATTCTCCAACTTACAATGGTTGGTGAGAAGAAAGTTTCCAGCACAGTAGATGGACCCTAAGAGACTTTGTTGAAATAATAAGACAAAAAGATATACAGAGAGATGGGCCAGATGAAGGGAGACAGAGAGAGAGAGAGAGAGGCAGAAATGAGAGATACAAAGTGAAAGAGGGCAACCTGTGGGGTCATCAGGGATTTGTTTTCTGTTTTGTTTATTCTAACATAAAGGCAATGGTGAGTCATCAATGTATTTAGAGTTTGCACAATCACTGTGGAACACAGACAGACACGGGGGAAGAGGAGAAACACAGGGCGGTAGCTTGCCCTTGGACTGTTCTAAGTTCCTCAAAACATAGCAGTTTTGCCCAACCTAAGGGAACTTTCAGCAGCTGCTCTTCTGCCATAGGCCTCTTTCCTGCCTTGTTTTCATGTGGCTGTTTCTGTTCCTGCAGGTCTTAGCTCATCAGACAGGCATTTATTACCTCTGTGTCAACAGTGGGAGCTTCCATTACTCTCTAGCATTACACTCCCCTTCCTCTTTCAGGAAACTTAACATGGAAGTGAGTTTGCCATCGGCCTTCTCCCCACAGTGTTAATAGTGGTGAGGAAGCCAGCCTGTTCCACCTTGCCCCTCCCATGATTCCAACACTGAGTTCAGACTTGTCACATGGAACTTATCCTTGCATGTTTGCCGCACAGACAGATGGACCCAACCATGGATTAGTGGATGGATGGATGGATGGATGGATGGATGGATGGATGGATGAATGGCTGAGTAGGTGTGTGGATGGAAGAGTGGAAAGATAGATGGATGCATGTATGGGTGGATGGGTAGGTTGATGGATGCATGGGTGGGTGGATGAATGAGTGGGTAGGTGGGTGGCTACATGCATGGATGAGTACTTGGATAGATAAGTGAGTGGATGGTTGGATGGATGGATGGATGGATGAATGGGTATGTGAAGGGATGGATGTATTAGAGTGGGTAGTTAGGCAGGCATGAGCTGATAGTCAAGTGATTGTTAAACTGCCTCTCTAAAATAATAATTGGTCTCGGCTGGACATGGTGGCTCACGCCTGTAATACCAACACTTTGGGAGGCTGAGGCGGGTGGATCACAAGGTCAAGAGATCGAAACCATCCTGGCCAACATGGCGAAACCCTGTCTTTACTAAAAATACAAAAATTAGCTGGGCGTGGTGGCGTGCATCTATAGTTCCAGCTACTCGGGAGGCTGAGGCAGGAGAATTGCTTGAACCTGGGAGGCAGAGGCTGCAGTGAGCTGAGATTGCGCCACCACACTCCAGCCTGGTGGTAGAGCAAAGCCCTGTCTCAAATAATAATAATAATAATAAATAATAATAATTGATCTCAGCGGGCACCAAGAAAAGGCAGTCTCCCAATAGATAGAAAACACCCGAAACTGGTCATCAGCAGCTTCCCGATAAGATCTCAGGAGTTGGATGAGTGGGCTCAAGCATATGCACTAAGAGGCAAAGTGGCAGAGTTTAACTGGCACATAATCTTCCTCTAGGAACACTCTAAAAGTAAGAGAAAAACACCTCAAATGAGCATGTGCACATTTCATTAAACCCATTGTGTACGCGGCCCCTCCGAAGCACTGGCAGGCCACTGTACATGTGGACATCCCACCCCAAAGGAAAAATCAAGGGAGAAGAAATACAAATCCCAGAACCATGCCAATGTATAAAACCCCAAGTCAAGGGCCAGGCAGAGCACTTAGATCTCTCAAGTCACCCACTTAGCCATCTTCCAAGTGTACTTTACTTCCTTTCGTTCCCACTCTAAAACTTTAATAAACATTTACTCCTGCTCTAAAACTTGCTTGGGTCTCTCACTCTTCTGCATGCCCCTTGGCCAAATTCTTTCCTCCAAGGAGGCGAGAATCAAGTTGCTGCAGACCTGTATGGATTCGCTCCTGCTAACAGATGGCTGGATGGGTGGACAGATGCATGAATTAGTGGATGGATGTTTGGATGTGTGGGTGGGTGGGTGGATTGTGGGATGGCTGGATGAATGCATGGCTGGGTGGGTGGATGGATGCATGGATAAGTGATGGATGGATGGATGGGTGAGTGGATGGGTGGATGTGTGTGTGGATGGGTGGATGGGAAAACCCTTTAATTGATTACAGGGTTCAGTGTGTGCTTCAACATCATGATGGCATCATCACATTGGTCTCTGTATGAAGCAGTGGGGGAGGAGAGTGTACCAGGGGAGCAGGAATGACTTTTCTCCAGAATCAACCTCTCCCACCCTGCAGCCTGGGCTGTGCAGGCCACATTGGAGAAGGTGGGCTCGACTACTCCTAAATGTTGTTGTGTTCAATGGCTTGTTGACGTTGATGTAGGAATGAGCCTACACCTCCACCATAGATGGAACTGTTTGGGTCCCCAAAGCAGAAAGCCTCTTCTGTTGCAGGTGCTGAAGTTTCCATCTTCTTCTGCTTATACGGAAGCTCACGCATCCCTTGG